>NC_000006.12:69580079-69883109 GCF_000001405.40 Homo sapiens
AAAAAAAAAGAAAAAAAAAATTCTGAACTTACGAAAGTACCACTAGGCATGTATTACTACCAAGAAGAAACTGAAATTATAATAGCATTAGCAATATCTAATTTGAAATTTTGTTTGCATTATTTAAAATAATGTTATAACCATATAAAATCTAAAGATGTTTCTATTTAAAAGTTAATATGTATATTCTAGTTAAATCAGATTCCTCATCAAATTGTAGGCCTAAAGTGCTATTACTGCTGAAGTTAACTGGAATTAACCGACTGCTAGAGAAGAAAAGATAATGTCACTTTGGTGAGAGAGGTTAACTCTGAAGCTTTTATAAATTCTTGACAAATCCAAGATCTATTTCAGTTTTAAGACATCTGTTACTCTGCAAATGGCCTCTCTCCTCCCTCTTCCTCCCTCATTTTTCTAGAGTCACCAGTTTACTTCAGCTGAGAATTTTCATTAATCCTAATATTAGTGCTTTATGTCTCTTATTGCTTTCTTCCGAAGCCTCACCCCATAATAATACAACATCTTCTATTCCAAAATTTATAGGCAGTGTTGAAAGGGGTAATTATCTTTACTCTAGAGTCTACACAATCACTATCTACAAGTGAGGGAAAGAGAGAGAGAGAGAGAGAGAGAGAGAGAGAGAAATGTGGGTGGGGTGGAGTGGAAGAAGGTGGTGGTGGAAACAAGATAGAGGATGGAAGGGAGAAAAACTGTGGTTGGTTGAACTGTTTAAACCTATCCACTATAGCTCAGGTACATTTATTTGTGGATGCATGTATAAATGGAAGGGGAGGAGAAGATGAGGGTGTTAAGTGCCAAATTTCAGCTTCAACAATAAGCATTTCTGCCAATTGGCATGACTTCAAATATCCCCTCATCAAACAGATGGCATGCAAGTTGTATCAGTGGAAAATATGACACTTCTTTAAAATGCATATAATGAGTTAGATGTTATAAGGTTGAAACTGAAAGTTTAAATTGGTTTTATCTTACACTTATACCTCTACTAATAAAACTCTGCAGAATATAGAATATTATTAATACACCCACTTAGACCACTTTAGCTCAGGCTCCTCAAATATACTGTGAATGAATATGATATTTATTTCTATGGAACAAATATGCTAATATCATCTAAATAAGAGCTCAAAAAATAGAGAGCCACGTTGTATTTATTATTGCTCTGGGTGCTAGAAAAGTTTTTAAGAATGGAAACATAGAAATTATGGGGAGCATAGGCATTTTAATTATTCATCTAATGCATAGATATGCATCTCACTAAAAGTCACATAAGTATTTTCTTTTCTCTTAAGTTCTTGAAAAGATCAAAGTCCAAGTGCTGTTTGACGAGCTGTAGTTTACAGGGCCTTTAAAAAAATAAGCATATTGCACCAGAATTTTTCATCTTTTTATAAATATGAAATACAGTTTTCTTCACTGCATATATTCATAGCAATGTCTGTCACAAGAAGTGGACAGTAGTTGCAGCAGTTTAATATTCCTAAATGATATCCTGGATGTCACAAAATGGTCTATTTCAGAAGCACCAATGAATTACGACAACAACTGAGTCCCCATCACTGGGGATTTTTATTTGTGCACACTTTATGTTTTAAATACACACCATTTGTAGAAACACTTACAAATGGTCATACTCTATGCAGAATAGTAAAACAGATGTCGCTGCCATCTCGCAATATGCCAAAATATACTTGGTCCAAGGAACAAGGGCCAAATTTCACCCTGGAAAGTAACAAACTGCAGGGTCTCTAGTATTTCAGTAATCACCAAGGCTAATTACTCCATTTCAATTCCACATTCTCCCAAACGAGGAGTTTTGGAGATTATAATTCTCATCATGTTAAGGCTCAGGTAAAAAAAAAAAAAGAAAAGAAAGAGTAAACGGAGCTTAAAAAAAAAACCAGATACTTAGTGTTAAAGATCATCATGTTAAAAGGTGCTTTTCATTTTAAATTTACTTTTTTAATATAAAATTCAAAATATTCAAAAGGTAATAGGAAAAAAATAGCCTCCCCTGTCCCCTAGCAGGTTTCCTTTGACAAAGCCATCAGTTTCTTGTGAATCACTCCAGAGACATTCCTATGCATAAGCAAGCAAATATATGCTTCTCTCTCCCTTTTATTAAAGTAAATGAGGCTCACTAAATGCATCATTCTACACCTTGCTCTTCTCAATTTATCTCAGAGATTGTTTCATGTCAGTACATGGGGAAAATCTTTTTTGTTGCATAATGGTCAATTATATAGGTATCCAATTAATTGTTAAAATTCCCTATTGATGAATATTTAGATCCCTTCCCATCTTGTACTATTATAAACAAAGCTATATAACATATATATATTATGAACAAACAAAGCTATATATATATATAATACTTCTAGCCTAGGACTCTGCTTAGATCCTAAACCCTCTAATTATTTACTATATTGGTTGAAATAGCACAGAAGCACATTGTCATACTTGAGACCATTTCATCTGGTGATTTTACCCCTTACAATCCTTTCCAACTCCAGTTGCCAAGTATAACAGTAGGTTCTTGGTGAAGTGTAATTAAGGGTGATGTGGCATATTAAATTTCATCAAAATTCTAAATGACATTACCAATATTCAAAATATTGCCTTTATTTGAGGATCTGTTTGACCCTAATTAGTGAACTCAACTTGGCTTTCTTTGTCTTTTCTAGGGGAAGAAGAATCGGAAGGGAGTAAACCACATTAATTATAGATTTGTGGCATCACTTATGACCTTTCTTATTTCAGAACTCTTGGAGCATCAATATTAGGCAGATTAACACTTAACTTCTCTATTTGAGAGCACATTTCAGAGACCTTTGCAAACTATAATGGTTCAACTATGGTTCACTTAGGCAGCAAAAGAATTACTAGAAGGATATTGGGAGCCGATAAAAATGTCTAGGGGCTGCCAGGCGCGGTGGATCACGCCTGTAATCCCAGCACTTTGGGAGGCCGAGGCAGGTGGATCATGAGGTCAGGAGATCAAGACCATCTTGGCCAACATGCCAGAAGCACCAATGAATTATGACAACAACTGAGTCCCCATCTCTTGGGATTTTTATTTGTGCACACTTTATGTTTTAAATACACACCATTTGTAGAAACACTTACAAATGGTCATAATCTATGCAAAATAATAAAACAGATGTCACTGCCATCTCACAATATGCCAAAATATACTTGGTCCAAGTAACAAGGGTCAAATTTCACCCTAGAAAGTAACAAGCTGCAGGGTCTACTAAAAATACAAAAATTAGCTGGGTGTGGTGGCACATGCTTGTAATCCCAACAGCTACTCGGGAGGCTGAGGCAGGAAAATCGCTGGAACCAGGGAGTCGGAGGTTGCAGTGAGCCGAGATCGCACCACTGCACTCCAGCCTGGCAACAGAGTGAGATTCCATCTAAAAAAAAAAAAAAAAAAAAAAAAAGATATCTAGGGACAAGGCTTGGAAAACAGAATGGAACTAATGCAACTCCAAGAGGGTCAGGAAGCAGAACATCTGAATAAGATACCACCTCAAGTCATCCAGAAAAAAATGTCTGTGGGACACGATGGCCACTGTCACTGAAGATTCTTGCAGTGGCCACCAATGAATCTCTACCATCCCTCAGCAGTGTTTTTCAATTTTTCTTATTTTTGTCCCACATTAAGTAATATATTTTGCATAGTATTCAGAGCATACATACACATGTTTTACTAAACCAATGTCATTAAATAAAACGACTCATTCCTATGTGCAATGCATTCTAATATCATATGTTCTCTCCTACTTTTTTTTTAATGCTGGTTGCAACCTGCTAAATTGATTTCAATACCCACTAATAGGTCAGGACCTGCAGTTTGAAAAACACTGCTCTAGAGAGATTGATTTAGAGCGCAGTGTCACAGCTAATAAGTAAAATGATCAAGCCTGTGGAGGAGGTAAAGAGTAAAGAAAGTAGAAGACCATTCTGCATTTGGAAGGGGCAGGGTAGAAAGAATGGAATATGACGCTTGCAGACACATCCTTTATCAGCAGAATGAAACCAGCATGACCTCAGTTTAATACTAAACGAATGATCAACCCACACACATCACCACTTAGCAGTGTAGCAGTACAAATCATGGCTTTTCTGACAAGGAAAGAAGGAAAGAAGGAAAGAAGGAAAGAAGGAAGGAAGGAAGGAGGGAGGGAGGGAGGGAGGGAGGGAGGGAGGGAAGGAAGGAAGGAAGACGGGAGAAAAAGGGAGGAAGGGATAGAAGAACAATGGAAAGAAGGAAGGAAGGGAAGGAAGAAAGAAGGGAGGGAGAAAGGAAAGGAGGGAGGAAGAACATTTTAAATGTTTCTTTAGTATGTAATCCAGCAGCGAATTCAATGTAATTGCTATGAAAAACACCCATTTATTTCAGAAGCAATAATTGCTTTCCTGTGTCCTTTTGAGCTTAATTACACTAGTTCCTTTCCCCCACCATTACTTAGGCTGGAGTCTGGTTGCCTGATATGTGTTGTCAACACAGTAAGACTCATAAAATGAAAAAGAGTCATCTTGCAAGATCCAGCTGCTTCCATACACATTCACCTCCAGATTGTAGGCTAAATTCTGGCCACGTTGCATGCCATGAAATAAATCCAGACTCAGTGTTGAAGTTATGTGCTGAGACCCACAACGTTCCTAATGTTGTACTCAATTTTGTGAAGTCTGTGGTTAGATGACATTCTCCTTAGTCTCTCCCTCTTGTTCTCATCAAGTGGCAACTACCTCTTTTCTGGGAACATTCCACCTTCCTGCAAGGTTTCAGCCTTGGCATTTATTCCTTCTGCAGTTCTAAAGTTAGTAGAGAACTAGAAATATTTCATTTCCTTGATTATGCCTCCACTCTTTCAAATCACTCCCGGGAAATGTCAAAACCAGAAGAGAGATCTTGTAGATGGTGACTGAATTGAAATTGTGCAGAAGAGTGGCCTGTCTTAATGAAATAATCCAGGACACCCACATTAGCTGGTGAGTCTCTCAGCCGAAGGAAAGCATTTCCTCACTGGCTTTCGTGCTCAGGGGATAATATAACCCTCACTGGCTGTCTGGAAGGCCTCAATAGTCCAGGAAAGGCCAGCTGGAATCTCCAAGCTAATTAACCATGCCCTGCGTGGCAGATGCTCCTCACTGTGATTTCTTCAGCTGCAGAGTGAAAACCAGGAGTTCTATTTCTATTTTTAGTCACGTTTGTAATAATGAAATGAAAAATAAGTGACTTCTTGAACTCCTGTTACATGTCAGTCAGAGAGAGCAAATATAGCTCACTGTGACAGTTACTGAGTTAGAGCTAAAGAATTTCTCAGCAGTTCAGTGGTGTGAATTTGCACATTCTTAAAGCTGGTTGTTTCCTGGATGCACTGTCTCTGCAGATAAAATGTGAAACGTGGTGTGGAAGCATATTTGGCATTCACAGGTGACAATCAGATTCTTCTAAACCTAATTATAGCATAAAAGATGATCAGCAAAGAGCTGGATTCCTAAATGTGGTGGGTGGTGAGGCCGTGTCATTACCGCGAGACTTCCCTCTCACTTCCTCTCAGCCCCAGCCTCATAAACCTCAAAACCACCATGATGGAGAAGGGACAGTATGTTATATAAAATGAAAATTATCAGCCACTGGGGTCAAAAAGAAAATCTAAGACAGACAAGAAGTGCTTTTTAAAAAGCAGGGGAAATAAATGCAAATTGTTTCTAAATGTTACTTTTGATCCTTCTGGTAATTCATAAATAAAATATTACACCTGTTGTTTCCTGATTTGATTTTGTCTATTATTCTTTCATGTTGACATCCTAATCAGATTTTACTAAGGATCAGTTCTTTAATTTAGCAAATTATTTGGAAAGAAATAACTCGATAGACAGCATTTTAAAAGAATCATTCATAGCTCATAATAAAGTTTCCATTTTATGTCAGGGAATACCTAACTTGTAAAGACTACTTTAAGTTACTTCTATTATAGTGGCTTAATGTTCAATGTTCCATAGTACCTAAAAGATGATGCTCATACCATATCTTATATACACATACCTCTGAAGACAAGAGTAAAGCAAAAGAATTGGTTGTAAGACTATTTAAGGAACAAATCCCCAGTTTCCTTCCCTAATTGCAGCCAACCAACTGCTTTTCTCTCACCCAGCAGTAAACTAGAGGTTTCCCCCCAGAAAAGGTAAAGCAGACGACTGGACTGGCAGGTGCCAGGAACTGTTGCGAATGGGAAGATGGTACCTAAAACAAGGTTAAGAAAAAAATAATGTGTCTACCAAGTTCTCTCTTCTTCAAGTTATGTGCCCAGGACAGTTCATCACATTCTGATTAGGCATACTTTTAAAATCCAACCAAACTTAAAAAAAAAAAATTGGTAGAATCCAATAACCGGAGAGAAACAACTTTAAAACTTTACAGGTCATCCTAAAAAGAAACTAGATCCATAGAAATAATTAGTAAGTTTTGTTACACATTAAGCTCAGTCTCATGCTATATAAATAAACTATTCCAAACTGTTGGATTTTTTTAAGCATGCAGCTTTTTAAGTTTATCTTACCATGCTGGTGTAAACTAAATAACAACACCTATAAAATACAAAATAAAAATAAAGCTACAGTTCATTTTCACCATAAATACATTTATAAAAATAATCATAAAATACTATTAAATCAAATTCAGCCATTGAATGATATTCAATGGCAAGTAGAGGGAAAGCAAAAAATGGCTTAAAATAAGAGATTTATTAATAAAATATACACTATTAATAGGCAAAAAACCACCTCCAATTATCGAATTGGGTTAACAGATATCTGTAAATTATCTGCTAATTTTCAACAAATACTCCAGATTTTAAAGTAACAAAATCCCTAATAAAATAAAAATGACAAAATACTTTCTTAACATAATAGAGAAGACATATTTTAATGAAAATCCAATCTCATATATTACTGAGAAACATTAAAGGAATTATTCTAAAGTGAGGAACAATGCACACATAAAATGCATATAGGTACTGCTATTGTTTGACATCATCTGGAATTTCTGATTGATGCAATAAAAAAATTAAATCAAAATTATAGTAATTTGAAAGATCATCCATGTGCAAACTCAAATGGATCAACTGAGGAATAATTTTAAAGTATCAACAGAATACATACATATGGCTGTTACAAAAATGATAGCTTGCTTTTTTAAAGACCAGGAATATCCGGTTAGAAAATGTAATGAGATGAGAGTTTATTAAGCACAAGAAAATTTACTATCTCTAGGAATAAACATCTGAAAATATCTGCAGGATCTATAGAGTAAATATTTCTCAGAAACGTGAGAAGAACCTGACTAAATAGGAAGACAATATGGTAAACATTGCAATTCTTCTCAAGCTAATTACTGTTGTAATGACTTTCAATTTAAATATGGATTAAGATTTTTAAGACTGTAAAAATGATTCTAAAGTTCATATAGCTGAAAGAATAAGTGGAATGGAAGAAGTCAAAAAAGTTTATATAAAATAACAAGGGAATTGTTTTCATCAGTTAAAACGGAGTACCTTAAACTACAAAGCATAGTAACCAAAATAGCATGGGACCAGCATAAAAATAGACACATATAGCAGTGGAACAGAATAGGGAACCCAGAAATAAATCCACACATATACAGTTAACTCATTTTCAACAAAGGTGCAAAGAACACGCACTGGGAAAAAGTCTCTTTAATGAATTGTGCTGGGGTACCCATATGAGGAAGAATAAAACTGGATCCCTCTCTCTTATCATATACAAAAGTCAAATACAAATGGATTAAAAACTTAAATATAACACCTGAAACTATGAAACTACTAGAATAAAACAATGGGGAAACACTTTAGGACATCGGTCTGGGCAAAGATTTCTTGAGTAAGCCCTCAAAAGCACAGGCAACCAAAGAAATAAATTTAAAAATGGGATTACATTAAGCTTAAAACCCTCTGCACAGCAAAGAACACAATCAGACGACCCACCAAATGGGAGAAAATATTTGCAAACTATTCAACTGACAAGAGATTAACAACCGGAATATATGAGTAACCCAAACAACAACTCAATAGCAAAAAATAAAAATAAAAAAGTCTGATTTAAGAATGATAAAGGATCTGAACAGACATTTCTCAAAGGTAGACATACAAATGGCCATCAGGTATTTGAAAATATGCACAATCATTAAGGTACAAAAATCTCCTTAGAAAGGAAAATAAGATGTAGTGTTCAGTACCACAATAGGATGACTATAGTTAACAATAATTCATTATATATTTCAAAATAACTAGAAGAGTAGATTTAGAATGTTCCCAACACAAAGAAATGATAAATGTTTGAAACAGTATCTCATTTAACCAGATTTGGTCATTACACATTGTGTGTTTGTATCCAAATATCACATGTACCCTCTAAATATGTACGACTGCCATGTATCATAAAAATAAAATTTTTAAATTTTCTAAAATACTAAGATTTAGTGAATAACATGAGAACAGTCAGAATAAGTGAAGTATCACAGAAAAGGCACAAAGAGACACTAATGTAAATCAGAATTTAGTATTATAACAGTAGAATTGTGTATCAGCAACAAAAAGATTGTCCTATTGATAATGCTAGTATAATTGCCTAAGTGTCTAGAAATTTTAAACTAGGTCTTCGGCCGGGTGCAGTGGCTCACGCCTGTAATCCAGCACTTTGGGAGGCTGAGGCAGGTGGATCACGAGGTCAGGAGATCCAGACAATCCTGGCTAACACGGTGAAACCCCGTCTCTACTAAAAATACAAAAAGTTAGCCAGGCGTGGTGGCGGGCACCTGTAGTCCCAGCTACTCGGGAGGCTGAGGCAGGAGAATGGCGTGAACCCGGGAGGTGGAGCTTGCAGTGAGCCGATATCGCGCCACTGCACTCCAGCCTGGGCGACAGTGCGAGACTCTGTCTCAGAAAACACACACACATACACACACACACACACACACACACACACACACACACAAACTAGGTCCTCACTTTACACTCTTATCCAAAATATACTCCAGATGAATCAGTTAGAAGAAATAAATGAATAAACAAATAAACTATAGAAGAGTCAGGTGAAAATGTATGTGAATATGCACAAAGCACAAAAGAAGACAGGAATTTGTCAGTAACTTAATTGAAGGAAGGAATCCTAAAAGGAAAGATTTGTAGACTCCACTACAAAATAATCAAAATCTTCTTTATATCATGAGCCTTTATAAATAATAAAAAAGACAGACAACTAAAAGAGACATATGCATCAGGCAAAGTGTAAATATTTAATTTATGAACACTCAAAAGACAAAATAGCAAATAAATACATTTTAAAAAGGGATCATGGACACAAAAGCAGAAATGTAAATGGCCAGTAAACAAATTTTTTTCAACACTGAAATACTAATTTGGTCTATCAGATTTGTACCAGCTGTATATCTACCTAGCCATCTATCCATCCATCTATCCATCTGTCTATCTACATCCAAGATTTATAGGAATGGAGGGAAATTTGTACTTGTATAATCTATTTAGAAAGAGTATTGTGAATCTTTTCTGTCAGAGACTAACTAGTAAATATTTCCAGCAGGTGGGCCATGTGAGTCTCTGCCACAACTACTAAATGCTGCTGTTGTAGCATAAAAGCAGCCATAGACAAAAGGACATGGCTGTGTTCCAATAAAACTTTATTAGCAGAAACAAGCTGTGAGCTAGATTTGGCCTGTGGGCCACAGTCACATACCCCTAATTTAGAGGAAAAGTTGCAACACTTTTGTAGAATGATTTGTCCAATATATATTAAAAGCTTTAAAAAAGACTTATTATTTGACCAAGCAATTCCCTTTTAGGAATGTATTCTGTAGAAACCTTCAAGCTTATGAGTGATGATAATTATCAAAGAATTTATTTAATGTCTAATCATAAGGTTTTATATAAACAAATTATGCTGTACAGTGGATAACCATGCCATATTCCAAAATTATGTCATAGAAAAAAATGACATCAACAAATATTTATAACCAATTGAAAACAGCAGGTATCCATAGAGCATATATGACCCTACATTCCTAACACATGCATGTACACACAACACAATAGAGGTTAACAGAATAGAATTGCAAATCAGACTGCCTGAGTTCAAATTCAGGCTTCACAACTTTCTGTATGAATTTGATCAAACCATTTAACCTTTCTAAATCTCATTCTCTTAATCTGTGAAATGGAAAGACTAATTGCACTTAGCTCATGGAAGTGTCATGAGAAGTAAATAAGATAATACATATGATAATACTGTCTTTGTTCATTCAGGCTGCTATAACAAAATACCACATATTGAGTAGTTTATAAACAACAGAAATTTATTTCTCACAGTTTTGGAGACTGAGAAGTCCAAGATCAAGGTGCCTGCAGATTCGGGGTTGGGTGAGGTTCTGCTTCTTGGTTCACAGATGCCTGTTTCCTCACTGTGTTCTCACATGGCAGAAGGGGCAGGAAAGCTGTCTGGATCTCTTTTAGAAGAGCATTAAGCCCATTCATTAGTGCTCTGCCCTCATGACCTAATTAGTTGCTAAAGGCCCCACCTCCAAATATCAACACATTGGATTTTAGGTTTCAACACATAATTTTTAATGGGACACAAATTCAAAATACAGCAAATACTTAGAATGACTCAGTAAATGCCATATCTATACATATCTAAAATATCTAGTATATTTATAATCTTCTATTATCTTCTTTGTGCTTTCATATATCTTCTAATGTTCATACAACATATATATTATTTTTTAATTGTATAAAAAAAGATAACATTTTGCATTTGACAATTTCATAAGCCACTTTCAATCTCATTGTAAAGTAAAATTATCTATTGGTAATAGCATTTTTTTTTTTTGAGACAGGGTCTCACTCTGTTGCCCAGACTGGAGTGCAGTGGGGCAATCTCAGCTCACAGCAACCTCCACCTCCGAGGCTCAAGTGATTCTCCTGCCTCAGCCTCCCAAGTAGCTGGGATTACAGGCACATGCCACCACGCCCAGCTAATTTCTGTATTTTTAGTAGAGACAGGGTTTCACCATGTTGGCCAGGCTGGTCTTGAACTCCTGCTCACCTCAAATGATCCACCTGCCTTGGCCTCCCAAAGTGCTGGCATTACAGGCATGAGCCACCGTGCCCAGCCTGGTAATAGCATTTTAAAGAATTCAATAAATTCTGAGGAGTACTGAACTGGCCCCCAAAGCAGAACCTATGTTTGATCTTAAAGAAGCAATTTCACAGCTTGCTTATACCCTTTTCCCTCAGAGAAAGAAATTTAGGCTTTTTTTTTTTTTTTAATCTCAGGTGAGACAGACTTGGATTTTAGGCTGGTAGAAAATTGTCTCATTGGTAACTAACAGTCACAGTGACCTGGCCTAAGGCAGGAAGATGAAACGTTTACCCAGTTTCAAGAGCACGTGCCCTGGCAGGAAATACCCCTTAGAGCAAATCCATGTGACCCTTACTTATTCGAATAAATCAATAGATCCGAACACATTTCCTCTAGGATTTGAGTCCAGAAATGTTCTCGATGTATAGCAGACTCATTTTCTGCTCCTAAGTACGCTCTTATTTAAAATCAAGCAATCCTCCTCCCTTATCCTTATGGGGATTCTGAGGAATAAGCCATTGAAATCGAAGTAAAATTCAAGGTGGAGCAAAAATTTTCTCCCACTCTGTAGGTTGTCTGTTTACTCTGTTGATAGTTTCTTTTGCTGTGCAGAAGGTCTTTAGTTTAATTAGATTTCATTTGTCAATTTTTGCTTTTTTTACAATTGCTTTTGGCATGTTCATCATGAAATCTTTGCTTGTGCCCATGTCCTGAATGGTATTGCCTAGGTTGTCTTCCAGGGTTTTTATAGTTGTGGGTTTTATATTTAAATCTTTAATCCATCTTGAGTTAATTTTTGTATATGGTGTAAGAAAGGGGTCCAGTTTTAATCTTCTGCATATGACTAGCCAGAAGACAATGTGGTGATTCCTCAAAGACCCAAAGACAGAAATACCATTTGACCTAGCAATCCCATTACTGGATATATATACCAAAGGAATATAAATCATTATATTATAAAGACACGTGCACACACACGTTCATTGCAATACTATTCACAATAGGAAAGACATTAAATCAAACTTAATGCCCATCAGTGATAGACTGTATAAAGAAAATGTGGTAAATATACACCATGGAATACTATGCAGCCATTGAAAAATCCAGGGTTTAAATCCAAATCTCTCTGCGGAGCTCATATGATTTGACTCTGTGTCCACACCCAAATCTCGTGTCAAATTGTAATCCCCATGTGTCAGAGGAGGGATCTGGTGGGAGGTGATGGGATCATAGGGGTGGATTTGCCCCATGCTCTTCTAGTGATAGGGAGTGAGTTCTCACAAGATCTGATGGTTTAAAAGTGTGGCATTTCCCCCCAACTCACTCTCTTCTGCCATCTTGCAAAGAAGATGCTTGCTTCTCCTTTGCCTTCCACTATGATTGTAAATTTCCTGAGCCCTTCCCAGCCATGCAGAATGGAGAGTAAATTAAACATATTTTCTTTATAAATTACCCAGTCTCAGGTAGTTCTTTACAGTAGTGTGAAAACAGACTAATACAAAAGGCTAAGTTCCTAAACACTGCATAGCAGCAGAATCTGGAGATGTCATTTACTCATTCAGTGAATAGTTATTGACACTGACTCTAGTAAGGCCTTGTGCTAGGGATCCTGATCATTCAACCCACAAATACAAGAAGTCAGGGAAGTAAAGCCATTGCAAGTGACTTCAGGCAGAAGTGGGGACTTGACATGAAGACATACACAAGTAAACGTTCCACACATACAAAGGAATTCAGTCGAACCAAACATGTTCATTGAGTGCCTGTAAGCACCAGACACTCTGCTTGGAGTTGGAGATGAAAATCCAGTTCTTGCCAGTGTCCGTTATATTTACTCACTGCTGTGGCCTCAGCACCAAACCTCAAAAGTATTTGTGTGAGGAAGAAAGAATGCAAAATTATGAGTTTTATTTCAGGGTAATGAATAAATTCTGTGCAGAGGGCATCAGAAAGGGAAAGTGGGAGGTCAGAAATACTTCAAAGAAAAAGTAACTGAGCCTTGAAAAATGAGTAAGTTTTTATAATGAGGTTTTTAGACCAATGTGCCCCAGTTATCCTACTTGAATTTCTTGTCACAATCCTGTGTTTTAGGGGTTTCTTAAGGCTCTGAATCTATGAATACAATTTTAGAAATGTAAAGGTGAATGTTGCTAGATTAATCTTCCAAAACTGGAAATTCTTATTTATATCTTCCACATATTGCTCCAGTCTTTACATAAAGTACTTGTTTATACATGATCTCATTCTATGAAGCTTCAATGTATTTTTGTGTGTACATATATATGCACACAAATCTATGTATGTGTATATATGTATAGGTATATATAGTGTGCATGCATACATAGATGCATACATAAAATCACCCCACATACATATATATGTACAAATCACACAGTAAGAAAATATATATATACACACTTATGTAAAATCACCTCAAACTCAGCATTTTGCAAAATAGCATATGATGTTAATAACATCAATATTAGTGCTAAATAGACTCTCAGAATAGTCAAATTGCTCCTCCTATCTGCTTCCAGTCTTGGTGCCTTGATGCAGGCCCTGCCCCATTGCTAGTCTAATCCTCTCTAGCCGACATGCCCTTTTCAGTTTCCTCCACTTTAAACCAAATCCTGGTAGAAAAGGATTCCAATAAGCCGGTGACTCAGAAGCCACAGTGAAAGACGAGCTTTCACACACACATACACAAAAATCGTTTTCATGTTTGCTTTGGGAAAATGTATATTGAACATATTTTTCATGAAATCTACATTCTCCAAATCTTAGATTTTTTACTTTTCTCACTCTGGTTAAACACTGACTCTCAAGGTTACTAAATTCATAGATGAGAAAAATAACATTTTGTTTGCTAAGATGATGTTCTATTTGAAAGATACATGCTGTTAAACATACCCAACTTTATTTTTTTTTTACTTTTAATAAATGGAGCTATAAGAACTAGTAAGAACTTAGTCCTCAGTATTTTTCCTGTTCTATACTTTTATGTTGATATAAAGGACTAGTGAATTGATTTTGTTAACTCCAGAAAACCCGTTGACACGCTTTTTTATGAAACTCATGATTCTTTGAAAATATTTCTCTCCATCTTACATTTTATTAACAGCAATAAAACATTACTCAGACATTTGACCCATCACATGTTAATGACTCATATTTTTATACTAGAACCTGTCACTTGATGTTCCTCTATGTGGAGTATCTGCGGCTTTGATAAGTGTATGGTTCTGTAGGTAAACTTGACCTGGAAAAGACACAAAGATGACACCAGATTGTAGAACACCTTGATAATGTCAACAATTTTTGCCACAAAGGTCAACATTGTAAAACAGACATGAGGATGTGAGACAGCTTATACCTACCATCCTTCAGCTGCAATAAGGGCCAGTCTGGGAATAGTTCCACCTTGCCTAGTTTATTATTTTGTTAGGACTGCCATAACAAAATCCCATAAACTGAGTGACTCAAAAACAGAAATGTATTGTCTCACAGTTCTGGAGGATAGAAGTCTGAGCTCAAGGTGTCAGCAGGGTTAGCTCCTTCTGAAGGCAGTGAGAAAAGGATCTTTTCAGGCCTTTCTCTCAGCTTCTGGAACTTTGTAGTCAATCTTTGGTTTTCCTTGACTTCTTTTGTATCACCCCAGTCTCTGCCCTCATCTCCACATAATGTTATTCCTGTGTCCAAACTTTCTTTTTCTATAAGGACACCAGTCAAATTGGGTTAGAGGCCCATCCTACTCCAGTATGGCCTCATTTTAATTAATTACATCTGCAATAACCCTATTCCAAATATGATCACATCCTGTAATACTGGCGGCTCAGAATTCAACATATAAATGTTTGTCATTGCTGTTGTTTTTGATATTTAAATTGAATTTAATTAAATACAAATGTCACCCACTACCACCATCCCAGGAACAATTGCTTCATCTTTATTAAGAAAGTGGAAACTAATGATGACTTAAGATTTCATTCTGAGGAATGTGTTTAGACAAGTTTAGGCAAACAGCAAAGACTGAGAAGTTCCACCACCAAACCTACAATATTTTGAAAATGCTTGAAACTTTAAACTCCATTCTCCATCTAGCAGTTCAATATGACCTGCCAAAATTTAGTCCAATTAGTCAATTCCAAATAATGTAGGCTCCTTGGGGTCTATAACTTTGGGGCTGTGACAGGTCTGTCACAGTGGACCAGGATACATGAGCTTCTCCCTCAGATTCCTTCACAATTCAACCCGTAACACCTAGGAATAGAACTCCTGGTCCAGACAAAATGTCTAATGGATAAAACATGGATGCTGACTGTACTTTTTAATTGTATGAAGGAATCTTTGGCCTACTGTCAGGAAGCCAGCTATAGTCACACAAAGGGGAAAAAAAAAACCGGGATTCTGAGGCCACAGAGCCCCTATCGTTAGAAATGCATGGCCCCTGTCAAAGTGCAGGCAGATGAAAGAGTATGTAGACAGTTTGGTAGATACCATTATCATTATTAGAAATACCCAAATGCATGCCCATCTGAAGTGGTTCAGACTCCTTTTGTTTACAAATAGAGAAATGTTATTGTTGCACAGGGAGTGGTAAAAGTCTCCTGATAAAGATGTGAAGAAGCCATTTAGGATCCCCTGGAGCCATGTACTTGTTTGACAATGATAAATGGAGATTTCTGCCACTCTCTCATCTCAGTGTCCAGGAAAAGGATCTCATAAGTGAGGTCAAGAATGTGATATAGAAAAAGACCAAAAATTTCTCTTTGAATTCCATAGACTTTAAATGTACCGAACTGTATTGGTTTTCTATTGCTGCATAACAAATTATTGCAGCCTTAGAGACTTAAAACAGGACTCATTTACTGTCTCACAGTTCTGTCAGCCAAAAGTCCAGCACAGCATGACTGGATTCACTGCTTCGGATCTCACCACACTGTCTTAATCCATTTTGTGTTGCTGTAAAGGAATATCTGAGGCTGAGTAATTTATAAATAAAAGAGGCTTGTTTGGCTCCTGGCTCTGCAGGCTATACAGGAAGAATGGCACCTGCTGGCATCTGCTCAGCTTCTGATGATGGCTTTTGTTCTGCATCAAATCATGGCAGAGAAGGTCAAAGGGCAAGTAGGCATGTGCAAAGAGGGACCAAACCTGACAGATGTCCTGGGTTTATAACAACTCACTCTTACAGGAACTGATCCATTCCTCCAGAACCAATCCAGTCTCACAAGAGGGAGAACTCACTCAGTACCTTGGGCACCAAGACTTTCACGAGAGATCCACCCCCATAACCCAAACACCTCTCACTAGTCCCCACCTCCCACTACCACCACACTGGGGATGAAATTTCAGCATGAGATCTGGTGGGAACAAACAAAGCATATTCAAACTGTACATATACTAAAACCAAGGTATCATCCAGGGCTACAATTCCCACCTGGAGCTCACTGGTTGTTAGCGGAATTCCTTCTCAGACTTTCCACATGACCCCCTCCACCTGCAAGCCAGTAACACTGCATTGGATCCTCACTTGAATTCCTCTGGCTTCCTTTTCTACTTCCTTTTTGGCTTTTAAAGAACTCATGTGATTACACCAGGCCCACCCAGAAAATACAAGATAATCTTACTATTTTAAAGTCAGCTTATTAGTAACCTTAATTACATCTGCAAAGTCCCTTCACACCAGTAATTAGATTAGTGTTAAATAGAATAACCAAGGAATGGGAATTTGGGGTGGAGGGGGGTGGCATCTTTGGAAGTCTGCCTACTGTAAGATCTAAAACCTCAGACTAAAGGCATTAATATGTAGATAAGTTATATTCAAACATTATTTTAAGCAACTAGGAAGAAAGGATAAAACATTATCCAAAAAAAGTAAAAATACACTAACCATCTTAAATGTTTTTGCCATGATTCTGGCTTTAAAATTAAAACCTTAACTGATGGAATAAAGGTGAGATGGGAAGAGCTGAGGTCTGGGACTCTTAACTCCACAATTAGTGGTGATGTTGGGGTAGGTAATAATTCAGCCACTCTCAGGCTCCATTTTCTCTCCTACCTGTGTCATCATCACATAAAAAGTGAATAATATTAATGCTTTGTAGGGTTGTTATGAGAATCAAATGAGATAATTTCTAGAAAGTGCTTTGTAAGCTGTGAAGTCAAAAGCAAATGTGAAATGTTAAAATTGTCACAGAAAGTTTCTATTTCAGAAAGAACAAGAGAACCCAATTACTCCTTCCTTCAACAAAATAATTACCCTGGGAGAAAAATGTATTCTGACAAGCAAGAAATCCAAACTTCAGTAGAAGCTTATCCAGCATTCTTGCTAGGGGGTATTCCTGTATATGCATGAATGTGTGTTTCAGGAGGATGCACCATGTAAAAATTGTATCATACTAATTCAATGGGCAACATCATAAGGCAAGGTCCCATTCTGATGAAAGGAATCTAACACCAAGACCTTAGAGAAAAATCTGAAAGACTCTCCTAGAACCAAGCAACAAGAAGTGAGGCCCTAACAGAGGAAAGAAAAACAAAGTATTTTCATCACTCAAGAAAATAAGCCATCTGTTGTCACACTGTGCCTGGAAGATCTTTGCAGAATTGTCTGAGTGGTTTAGGTCAGCAAATATAAGTAATCTCACAAGTGTTCAGGCACCTACTATGTTCCTATTACACCTCTAGCCACTATCTCTCTCGGAACATTATCACTAACATTTATTTCTATGAGAATTATTTTGTTTATGCACTTAACGAACATTTATACATCATGAAACGTGTGCAAGGTACTATTCCAAACTCCTTATTAATATTAACTCAAAATGATAACTCATCTTTATAACACCTTATAAAGTTGAAACTATTATTATTCCTATCTATAGAAAAACCTAATTATAATAATTTATTTCAAAATATTTTTCTTCTAAAACAAAATAGGGCTTTTTTTCCCCAAAGAGCTTCCTCTCTTTATTTCATCATTCTACAGTTTACATCAAGAAAGAACTGGAAATGCAATGGCTAAAGGCTTTATCCTAGTACAAATGACAAAACAGACTGATTTCAGTCAAATCTTTGAAGCAAATGGATTAGCCCTACACAAAATGCTCTGTTTTTAGAGATGCCCTTGTGATTTTCTAAATAGCATAAGTTTTAATGAAGGAAAGCTTTCTCTCCTCAATACAAAAGGCACCAAGTTTTTTGTTTTTGATTCACTATGTCTCTTGAACAGTGTACTTCTTTTCTCTAGTTTCAAAGTGTAGACAGTTAAAAATACTTTGATTTTATTCTTACCACTTTCTAATAAACAAAATGAAAATGCTCCATTCCCTGCTCTTAGCAGGAAAGACATGTTCTTGATATATTTTCTCACACTTTATTTCTCCAGGAAAATTTTCTAAAATTTCTCATTTTTCTGTTTCAAGATTTCTCCAGGAAATTTTTCTAAAATTTCTCTTTTATTTTTCTTTTTCAATGTTAGGCCAAAAAAAGTTTTGGAAAAAATATTCCAAAGTGGTAAACTGTTCTGCCTTATTCACACCTTGTAAGGCACACAATTAACCCAAGTGTGATATGGTCTAGTAAACTATGCCTAGGTTTGTTCTGAAAGTTCATGGGTGCAAGTGACAGAGACAGAAAAGGGCCAGGAGCAGGACTGATGTTCCTCGTCTGAGCAGAAAGGTGAAAAGTTTTGTGAATTTAAGTTTTATTTTGTGTTTTTATATTTCAAGTTCTAGCTATGTACCAGATGCTTAACATTCATATAAGAATTGTCATCAGGATTAACCAGCAGGCAAAAGTTTATTGTAGGCAAGGGCATATGACATTTGAGACCAGATCTCCTTCTTTGAGAAGTTAATTTATCTGGTACTAAAATTCTATAAAATTTCATTGAGTTCAAGGGAAAATAACATTGAGAGCTAAGCTGTCAACAAATATGAACATGTTATTAATTTGCCTCTCACCCTAACACATTTGAGGTTGTTCTTTTAGCAATATCTAACAGCAAACACCACCACGGTCCCAAGACAATTAGCCCCAAGCGCTTCAGCCTCAAGACCAGCCCCTGAATTGTGTGTGCTGAGGGCCCAGAGGAAGATAACCCTTAATGTTTGATTTGAGAATTCATTCATTGAGCCCATTACAAACCAGGCTTCATGTTTTCTGATAATGTAGGCATTGTTTTGTAAACTTAAGGTGATATAACTGCAGAAATAGAAATAACAGCTACTGCTTGTTTCACGCTTCCTATGTTCCAGACACTCTAATAAGCATTTTTCAATTATTAATTATTATCTTTGCTTTTTTTTTTTTTTTTTTTGAGAGAAGTCTTGCTCTTGTCCCCCATGCTTGGGTGCAATGGCTGGATCTCGGCTCACTGCAACCTCCACCTCCTGGGTTCAAATGATTCTCCTACTTCAGCCTCCCAAGTAGCTGGGATTAAGGGGTCTGCCACCACGCCCAGCTAATTTTTGTATTTTTAGTAGAGATAGGGTTTCACCATGCTGGCCAGGCTGGTCTCGAACTCCTGATCTCAGGTGATCCGCCCTCCTTGGCCTCCCAAAGTGCTGGGATTACAGGCGTGAGCCACTGCACCCAGCCTAATTATTATCTTTGTTTTAAAAAATGGGAAGAGTGAAGCCTGAGAGCTTGAGCAAATTGTCCAGGGTAGCAAAACTAGTGAGAAAGTAAGGACTGAAATCCTGGAAGTCTCCTTCAAAGATCCATATCTTAACCACACAATTGTGATCAAAATCTTATTTCTAACACAGATAATGAGACCTCCCATCCTTAAAATGGATACCCAAACCTCATCCATGCTGTTTGTAGCAATTCTTAACAAGCAGTTCACCTCTATATATTTATGTGTTAGTTGTATATTACCAGGTGGTTCTGGCTCAAGGTCTTCCGAAGGCTTGACTGGGGCTGAGGATCTGCTCCTAAGCTGGCTCATTCACACAACCTTGGTTCCTTGCCACACATACCTCTTCCTAAGGCTGCTAAGTCATCTGGCAGCTAATTTCCTCCAGGGCAAGTGATCCAAAAAAGAGAGCAAGGCAAGCTGGGCGTGGTGGCTCATGCCTGTAATCCCAGCACTTTGGAAGGCCAAGACGGGCAGATAACCTGAGGTCGGGAGTTCAAGACCAGCCTGACCAACATGGAGAAACCCCATCTCTACTAAAAATACAAGATTAGCCTGGCGTGGTGGCGCATGCCTGTAATCCCAGTTGCTCAGGAGGCTGAGGCAGGAGAATCACTTGAACCCGGGAGGCAGAGGTTGCTGTGAGCCAAGGTTGCGCCATTGCACTCCATCCAGCCTGGGCAACAAGAGAGAAACTCTGTACCGAAAAAAAACAAAAAAAAAAGAAGAAGAAAGAAAGAGCAAGGCAGAGCCCCATGTCTTTTCTGACCTAACCTCAGAGATCACAGGCAATTGGTTCTGTTTTATCCTGCTCATTATAAATGGATCACTAAGTCCAACACAATCTTGGGGAAGAAAATTAGTCTCTACCCTTGAAAAGAGTGTCAAAGAATTTTGGGCATATTTTAAGCCTACCACAACATTTAATCCAGTTCAGCTGGAGGAATTTCTGTTTTTCATTGTCCAATTGTCTATTACCAAATTTTGATTTTATCTTACAATTCTCAAAACTGTCTACTTACTTACATCTTATCTTACCCCCGGTATTCTAAACGATTCTGGCTTTATGTCATCCTTTCTTTCTGCTATTCTGACTCCATTACAATGTACCCAAACATGCTGAGCTCATCAGGGCTGGAAACTGATTGGCTGTTGTTAGGTCTAAATGTCAGGGTCAGGG
Source organism: Homo sapiens (assembly GCF_000001405.40). Classification (NCBI taxonomy): domain Eukaryota; kingdom Metazoa; phylum Chordata; class Mammalia; order Primates; family Hominidae; genus Homo; species Homo sapiens. The sequence continues at coordinate 69,601,109 of NC_000006.12, forward strand.
TCCTGGTCCGGGTCTGGGTCCGGGTCCAGCTCATGTTGAAATCCGAGGGGAGTGAGTGGATGGGTAGAAAGAACACTCGGGGGTCCACAGGCAGGTGAAATGTAGTTTTATTCAGTAGTTTTCTCATTAGTAGTTTACTCCCATTAGTTCTTTCACACTGTCGATCTTTATCTCGGCTGTTTGCTCCGACTCTGCGGCACCGGCCACCGCCACGCCTGTAGCTGCACTGCCAGCTCTCCCTTGTCTTCAGGATCAGTAGTTTAACTCTTTCTCTCTCAGGGCACTAGTGTGAGTTGTGTTGTGGTTCACCTCTGTCCATCTGTAAGATGGACAGTTTTGGCTTTCTTTCTTTCTCTGGACACTAGTGTCTGTACCAAAGAGTCATGTTGAGCCCCGTGCACAGTGACAATAGGGCAATTATACCTTTTACACACAATAGTGGTTCAGAGACAAGTATGAACTTACACAAACAGGTTATGTAACAAATGGAGGTGTGTGTCTTTGTGTCTAACTTGTTGAGACATATAGGCCTGGATATCCATCTCAGTCTATTCTTTAACCAAAGTACATCTCTGAACCTTGCCGCTGTGTTACTGAATCAAACTTGGGTCTGCCTACCTGGCATAGCAAAACCAAATGCTGACAATGGGAATGCAGTGAGAGAAGGTGGAGCATTTATTGCAGGGCTCCAAGCAAGGAGAATCAGGCAGCTAATGCTTAGACCCAAACACCCCAATGGCTCACAGTAAAGTTTTTAAAAGCAGGCAGGCAGAGGTTACAGGCAGCATCATAAACCAATACATGGAGGCTATACATTGGTTTGACTTAAAAGGTGGGACATCTCAAAGTGGGGGCCCACAGGTCACGGGTGGACTGAAAGATTTCCTGATTTGTGATTGGTTAGGGAAGCAAAACTTTGTCTAAAAATTTGGAATCAGCAGAAAAGACTGCTAGCTCCGGCCCGTGGGTGTGACTTCCTCCAGGCCTCTCAGGAAAACATTTAAAAGAAAGAACAGTGGTCTTCAGTTCCCCCTTATCAGAGGTCTATGTGCCAGTGAATCCATTTAGTGGGGGTCCAGGTTTCTGAAAAACAACTTAGGGACATACGTTGTCTTTAGTTTCTGCAGGGAAGCAGACATCTTGTGACCTTAACTGTTGTTTGAAGCTACTTACCTTCTTGCTTATAAAGTTGCTCATTTACTTCTCAGGGCTAGGTGCCCGGAATTTGTCTTGAAGGAACTCAAGATTTTCCTTTATTTTCATCTTTGGGCCAGGAGGCCGGCAGGCCCCTAAGAGGCATCCCTGTTCTGTCTCAGCTTTTCCAAGTAATCATTCATCCCTATGGTGAGGCTCACCATCAGAAGAAACACGAAAATAGTCTCTTGCCTGAGCCCTGCCCTGTTGCCATGTGATTTCCTGAATATCCTGTTCCCATTACTTTGACCAAATTAACAAGTAAACAAAGTTTGTTTCAGACTCCGATAGCCAGCACTTCTCCTTGGATCACAGGCCCCAATTCCCCACACAGGTGTGCCCAGTCATCAGCTGGCCTTTCCATCTCTTCATCCTCCAGGGCTATCTCGTCAAAACTTCCCTGTCACCTGGATCTAATGGAATAGACTGAGTCAGTCTAAGCCACAGTTTGTCTACCTCAGCACTATCCACACTTGCTGTTGGATGATTCCTTGTTGGAGAGGGCCATCCTGTGAGTTGTAGGATGTTGAGCAGCTTCTCTGTCCTCTACACATGAGATGCCATTAGAACTTCCCAGCTGTGACAAATGTGTCTCCAGACATTGCCAACTATTCCCTGGGGTGCAAAATTATCCTAGGTTGAGGACCACTGATCTGAGATATTATGACTAAAATTGGCTGAGTAAAATACGTGAGACTTACCAGATAAAACATATGCAGAGATGTTCAATGCTTCATCTAAAAGAGGTAGTCGATGATATTAGGAGATGAGCAAGAAAGATTTCTGTAGGATGCAATTATTTAATTTAGGTGGTTGTCTCTTCTGCTGCTGTTTGTCCCTTTTTTGTCCACCAGCTGATTTCTGGGAGAGCAGAGGGGCTCTGCACAGCAGGTTAAGTTTTATTTTCTCAAAGTTGCGAATACTTGAAGGATCTGGAACAAAGTGGAGGAAAAAGAAAACAGGGTAACTAGAATGGGACAGTATAAATAGTAAACTTTTTTTATGTTTAAGTTGTTTTAGAGTATCTAAGGGATGTTAATCTTTCTTTTTTCTTTTTTGAGACAAAGTCTCACTCTCTCACCTAGGCTGGGGCACAGTGGCCCAATCTTCACTCACTGCAACCTCCGCCTCCTGAGTTCAAGCAATTCTCCTGCCTCAGCCTCCTGAGTAGCTGGGATTACAGGCATGTGCCACCACAGCCGGCTATTTTTTTTTTTTTTTTTTTTTTAGTAGAAACAGGGTTTCACCGTGTTGGCCAGGCTGGTCTCAAACTCCTAGCCTCAAGTGATCTGCCTGCCTCGGCCTCCCAAAGTGCTGGGATTACAGGCATGAGCCACCACGCCTGGCCTAGTCTTTATTTTTTTAAGTTAACCTTTACTGAGTGGTAACCATGCACCAGTCACTTTGAGAACATTTTGTCAAAATATTAACTCATTTAATCTTTGTTAACAACCCCATGCCATAGATACTATTATACTCCTTTGACACATGAAGAAGCTGAGACATAGTGATATTATCTTGTTAAATAACTAGTCAGGGAAAAAATGCTTTCAAAGATATCTCTCCTACTCCATGCTCCCTCAGGGCTTTGTTTTTGTTCCTCTAGTACTTCTCACTTTTCTCTACACTGATTCATGCTAAGCATTGAAGACTTGAAAAGAATCACACACACAGGTACATCTAGCTCTCCATTATCTGAAGGGAAATAATAGAACCTAGAATCAGGAAGAAAAATGAACTAAGTAGAGATGCCAGCACTTCAGTGAGTAGGAAATTGGCCCCGTCTTCAAGGGGGTTGGGAGGAGATAGGGCTAAGAGAAGCTAGCAGGAGATCAAACTAGAAGGGATCAAAATTGGAGGGTACCATAAGATAAAAGAGGTATTTCTTCAAGAAAGAGATAAATATATTTAAGACAAAATTTGAATTTGAGTAAAAACTTGGCCTAAGGCCTTGCAGAAAAATAGGAATCATCTTAAAAAAAATAAAACCATTGTTAGCATTAAAATGTACCTAAGAAAATGTAATTCATTGATTACTGCATGAATAATTATTAAGTACCTACTTTTGGTGTCCAGCCTTGCCCAGTGTATCACCCTGTTCACCAGCCCACCTTCTCAAAACCCTTCAGCAGATCTCTGCTGCCTCCTTAGCCTGGTAACAAAGGGCTTCTCTTGTCTGACCCCCATCCTGCCTTCTCAGCCTCACCTTTGCTCTTGATGCACAAAACCAAGCTACTTGTATTTTCCCTGAAATGCCTTTCCTACTTTTCAACTCACAGTTTCCTCTGCTTAAAATGCACTTTTCCTAGTATCCTGCTCTATTAAAATTTTACCATCCCCCAAAGCTCAGATCAAATATCCTCTCCTCCATGACCCAATCTCTAATTCCGATTGGAAATAGCCTCTAACTTTGATATTCCACAGTACCCAGTTTTGCCTCTCTGAGGAACTTTGGGAACTTATCATGAATTATAATAAGCTGTATATATGTTTATCTAGCTACTGAACAAACTCCTTAAGGGGAAAGAACAAGTTTTATTCATCTTTGCTCTACAAACTTTGAAAATCATGTGTTCAATAAACATTTGGTGACTCAAGTTGAAATTTGAGTGCTCGACACCTTCGTTTTTAAACATGAAGTAAAACCTAAGCCAGCATAAAAATTTCCACTTTTTGATATATTCTGCCAAAATCTTAATAACATTGGCATTTGTAGAACACTTTTTAATTTCTGAAGTGCTTTATAAATATGCTCTAATTAACCCTTCAATGGCACTGACCTTATGGTATCAGGTAACGGGGTGATGATTTCATACCCCATGGAATAATACTATAGAAACTTTCCATAAAGGGGCAAAGTTAGATGCTTCCCAAAGCACAGGGAAAAGTGGGAAACCAGCAGGTTCCAAACCAAATGGCCTGCCAGTCACCACAGGAGGGGCTGAGTTGGAGGAGGTAAACATTATGAACAGCAAAGACTTTCTTTTCTGTTGTGTTTTTTTTTCTTGTTACAATTGATGACATTTTATCCCTACTTCTAAGTGCTAACTTTCACAAATTCTAGAATATAATTCAAGTCTTCTATAGTGTAGCATCATTGTGTATAAAGTAAATATCCCAAATTCAAAAATATAAATCAGTGTATATCGTTGTATTCAAGAGAGAGAGAGAAAAAAACAAACACCAACCTTGTTCAATGCATTGAAGAGCATAATAAAGAGGTAGCCAACTTTAGGCCAAACCATTATGTATACATTTAGATTTCTGTACAGACATATTAAAAAACCAATTCTTCATTTTAACACAAGGAGTTACTAAGGTTTTTCTCTATATATTACGTTTAGTATATAATTCACAAAAACTTTGGTTTCACATAACTTTTTAGGAACATACTTACTTACTAAATTCAGACACATCTGTACATAGGTTGTAAGAAGTTCCCTGACCGAACAGAATCCTTCATACATCCACAGCGTGTCTCAGGGCTTGTGTTTGACATGATCCACAGCTGCAGCAGATCCTTTTTCTTGGGAGCCTCCATTCCTGGCTTCAGTCACACTGTTTCCCTTGTGGAGTTCTTGCAACTGAAGAGCTTCAGGGTCAGGTGCTGCATAAAATGTTTACCGGTTCTCTCCCTATCCTATTCACTCACTCCTCTAGGATATCATAGAATTGTGTTTAACACAATTTATTTCAACATTAATTGAACACCTACAGTTTGCTAAACACCATATCTCCTTTAAACATCTATGGCATTTCCTTGTATTATAGTTAAACGTGTACAAAAGTGTTTCTAAAAACTTGTGGGCATTTTGATCACAGAGATGATATTATTATCAACATATCTGTTAAGGAGTTTCATGCATACTAAACCCTTTGTTTAAATTTGATAACACTTGAGCACATTTTCCCACAGAAGCAATGTTGAACCCAATAGCTATGCTCTCAGGTCAGAGAATAAGGATGTATTCAGTTGGCCAAGAAAGGTAATTGAGCTATCGCATTAAAATTGCTTGTGGCTTTCTAAACTGCTTTTTAAGAAAGCATCTGAAGGAGAGCAGGATGGTGCTAATCAGAGGCTGATGGAGTGAGGTAAATGGGGAGATAGTCAAAGGGTAAAAAGCCTCAATTAGATTTTTATTTCTTTGAGATATATTGTGCAACATAGAGAATATAGTAAATAATAATGTCCTGTGAATTTCAAAATTGCTGAGAGTAAATTTTACCTGTTTTCACCACAAAAAATAAATATTTGAGGTAATAGACATGTTAATTTACTTGATTAAATTATTTCACAACAGCTATAATTTGTCAAGTTACAATTTAAAAAATGATATTTAAAAAAAACTAAGCTGGGCATGGGGGTGCAATACTGTAGTCCTAGCTACTTGGGAGGATGAGGTGGGAGGATTGCTTGAACCCAGGAGTCTGAGGCTATAGTGTGCTATTATGTCTGTGAATAGACACCGCACTCCAGCCTAGGCAACATATCGAGACCATCTCTAAAAAAAAAACCTAACACAACAACAACAAACAAACAAAAATCTGAAGGTGATTTCACGATATGTACATCATCCCTATAAGATAAAGATGCAAATCAGTTTTTGTAATGATATCAGACTTATGTATAGTGGTAAAAATTAGAAACAACTATGTGTCCAGTAATAGAGAATTATTTATTAAATGTACCAATAGTTTATATTTTAGTCATATGCTAGGATACCATTCAACCATTAAAAATTGTGTTGTACATGTACACAAGGAGGAGAACATCATATACCAGGGCCTGTTGGGGGTGGGGTACAAGGGTAGGGAGAGCATTAGGATGAATATCTAATGCATGCGAGGCTTAAAACCTAGATGACAGGTTGATGGGTGCAGCAAACCACCATTGCACATGTATACCTATGTAACAAACCTGCACATTCTGCACATGTATCCCAGAGCTTAAAGTATAATATTTTTTAAAAAATTGTGTAGTAAAAATTACTGTATTGTTATGTAAAAATATTGATATATATCATTAAGTGAAAAAATTAACATTTTATAAATTTGCCTCTCACCCTAAAATATTTGGGTTTCTCTTATGACAATATTTAACAGGTAATCACCCCTATGATCCTAAGAAAATTGATCCTAACTGCTGTGGTCTCAAGACCTGTTTCAGTATGTATGTGTATATGTATGTATATGTGTATTCATATGCATATGTGTGTATGTGTATGTGTATGTGTGTGTATGTGTATGTGTATGTGTGTGTGTGTGTGTGTGTGTGTGTGTGTATGGCCCAGATCATTCTTTAATGCTTGATGGGGAATTGATTCCTTGAGTTCCTGATAATGAGAAAAAAGTTATTTGTAGACTTAAATCAGGAAGCTAAACAAACAAACGAAAGAAAAAGGACACAGAGAAGGACAGAAAAAGTGAAAGACCCCCAAAGTTAGAAAGGATAACTTAAAAGGTAAAAAAAAAAAAAAGCAGAAATAAAGTATTTTTTTAATTGAAGATTTTAAAAAAGCAAAAAATCAATTTTTGGAAAAGCTAATGAAATTGGTAAACACCTGGAAAAAATGATCAAAACAAAACAATAGAGCGCGAAGGCATAAATTGCTGATTTTAGGAATTTTTTAAAAAGGAATTCACTAAAGAGCCTACAGATATTAAAAAGATAATATTAAATGAACAAATTTCTTTACAAGTCCAAATTACCAAAACTAACACAATAGTGAATAGAAAATCTAAATACTCTTATATCTATTAAAGAGTCCATAATTTAAATAGTCCATAATTTAAAACCTTTTCACAAGGAAAACCCCAGGGCCAGGAGAATTCCTTAGTGAATTCTTCCAAATATTTAAGAAAGAAATAACACCAATGTTAAACAAACTCTTCTAGAGGTTTTAAAAGATTGTATACTTCCTAATTATTTTGCCAGGCCAACATAGGCTTGATACCAACACTGGTAAGAATATAACAAGAAAGGAAAATTCAAGTATAATTTTCCTTACATCTTAGATGTAAAACATCTAAAAATATTAGTAAATCAAATTAATAATAAATAAATATCATGATCAAGTTGTATTTAGATAATTATTTTTTAAATATAAAATTAATTAATATAATTAACCACAACAACAAGATAAGGAGAAAAACTATTTGGATCATCTAAATAAAAATATTTAATAAAAACTTAAAATTTGTTACATATAATTTTAATAAATTAAAAATGGAACAGAAATTCCTTAGTTAATACAGTCAGTGATATATATCATTCATTAAAAAAGACTGCGTAGCAAACTTCTTACTTACAGTTAAAATATTGTAGCTTTATCCTCTGGTATTAGGAAAAGGATGTCTGCTATTATGACTTTATTCAACAATATAATAGACGTCCTCTTTGCCGTATAAGGCAAGAAAAACAAAGAGAATGTAGAAGGGCTAGAAAGTGAGAAATACAAATGCCATTTTCACAAATGATATGATTGCGTATATGGAAAAATGTAAAGGATCTATGATAAATTATTAAAATTAATAGGTAAAATTAACAATGTAACTAGATATAAAGGCATTATAAAAAATTGGTGAGCAATCTGTACCTTCTGCTCAGTTCTGTTGTAAACATAAAACTACTTTTAAAAATAAAGTCTACTAAAAAAGTTTTATTCTTTGTAGTAGCCAAAAACAATTATCAAATGAACTTTAAAAAAGTATGTTAACATAAAATATATTAATTACCTAGGAATTAATTTATTGAGAGATACACAAAATAACTATACAAAAAAAATAAAAAAACAAATTAAAGACCAAAATAGATGAAAGGATATACCATATTCATGGAATATAAGATTCAATATTTTTAAAATATCAGTTTCCCCTAATTTGCTCTATAGATTCGGTGCAATTCTATTCAAAATTTCACCAGAAATTTTTGTGAAGATTGACAAACTGATTTTAAATTTTTGGGGGGAATTTAGAGGACCAAGTATAGAGAAGACAATCTTGATGAAAAATAAAATTAAATGACTTCTACTACTAAATATGAAGACATTACACTACTAAACATTAAGACATTATAAAGCTTCAGTAATTAAACAATGTGATATTATTTAAACAAATAAACCATTGGAATGAAATAAGAAGTCTAGAAACAGAGTTTAAATAAATCATCACCCAATTTTCAACAAAGTTGCTACTGCAATGCAGTAGGGAAAGGAAGGACTTTTCAATAAATGGTAATGAAATCCACATGAAAAATATAATGACGCTTAACTCCACCTCAACTACACACAAAAATCCATCTCAAATGGATCATAGACCAAAATATGAAAGACAAAATAGTAAAAATGTTAGACAAAAGCACAGTAAAAAAATGGCTTTATAAGCTTGAAAAAGTAATGTTTTATTAAGAAAAAAGCAATAACAATAAAGTGAAAAATTGATAATTCAGACTTCCTTTAAAAGTACACTAATTCGTCAAAAGATATCACTGAGAGTGTAAAAAGTCAAACCAAAGTTCCAATGTTTAAAGAACTTGGAAGTCATCATCTCCATCCTTAAACAAGAAAAAGGCGAATAAACTATATATCACCAAATTTTCTTGAACCCATCAGAGAAATTGGATAGCAGGGCAAATTGCCACTCCAAAATCTGGATAAACAGAACCAGGCAGAGAGATACATTACCTGAGATGTGTTTTCCTAGAGCAAAAGTCATTAGAAAAGTCACTGGAGCCATAAACTTAAATGGTGATTGTGACAAACTGATGGATTGCAGACTGTCACAAAACAATTTAACTGTATTACCCATGTATGAAACAGCCTTACTGAAGGAGCTGGGTGCTGAAATAAGTATCTTTGGAAATGAGTGAAGTCTGTAATACTAAAGGCAAAAGAAAACGTGCTCTATTTGATAAAGTGTATGCCACAGGGGTAACAAGTTAACAACTCTGATATCATATTTACATGTATATTGGAATTAAACAATTAAATAAATGGATAGCAGGTGGTAGAGCCTGCTTTCTCACTGCTGGAGTAGGAAGTTACTGACAACCCAGTGGAAGAAGCTAGAATGATCAATGTGGTAATGAATTCAAGTGTGAATATGAACTCATTTAGATGAGTGTGAACTAATTGGTATGAAGTCTTTCATGTCACAGATACAAATGTTTACACTTGGAAATATTTATGGATAATTGTGTATACATAATTGATATGGTTTGGGTCTGTGTTCCCACCCAAATCTCATCTCGAATTGTAATTCCCATAATCCCCATGTGTTGAGGGAGGGATCTAGTGGGAGGTGATTGGATCATGGAGGTGGTTTCCCCCATGCTGTTCTCATGATAATGAGTGAGTTCTCACGAGATCTGATGGTTCTGTGTTTGACAGTTCCTCCTTCACATGCTCTCTCTCCTGCTACCTTGCGAGGAAGGTGCCGCTTCACCTTCCACCATGATGAAATTCCTGAGGCCTCCCCAGCCATGTGGAACTGTGAGTCAATTAAACCTCTTTTCTTTATAATTACCCAATCTTAGGCAGTTTTTTATAGCAGTGTGAGAATTAACTAATATAATAGGTTACTATATACATATATATTTATTTGCTGTGTCAGCTAAGAAACCTGGGAGCAAGCATAGAAACCCAGATCTTGGTTTCTAATACCATTCTCTAATAAAAGGTCCTGGAGAAACGAGCGATTCCAGGACTTGGCCAGGAAATATACGAGCTGAAACTGGAGCATCTTTGCAGTGCCAGAAATTAAGGGAGTGGTCAAACAACAACAAAGCCCATACAACTGGGGGCACTTCAAAGGGACAGGAGACAGCTGAAAGGCTCCCGATCGCCACAGCTGGAACAATTTATGCAAAATAATAATAGTAATAATACTATTGGATTGTAATCCAAAGTATAAGATAAATATCTTTAAGTTCATATTGATATTGATTGAATAAATTAATAAATGAGAGACAAGAGACAATTATCCCATGCAGAAGAATTCCAAATAATTTATGTTGATACTCTACCCTCAGAGATGGAAGCATAACCCTCCACTCCTTAAGTGTGGACTGCACATAGTGACCTCCTTCCATAGTGTCCTCCTTCCTAAGGGACAAAGCTTTACAGTGGAGAAACCTGACAAACACTACCTCAACTAGGTGATTAAGGTCAACATCAACAACAACAAGTCATGTTAATAGGAGGTGTTCTTGATATGATGTGTTGAAAATGGCACTATCTGTGTAGTCTTCCTCCTCAGTCTAACTATGAGAAAAACATCAGACAAATTCCAGTAGAGAAGCATCCTGCAATATATGTAACCAGTAGTATGCAACTCTCTGGGTCATCAAACACAAAGACTGTCAGAACCAGGAGGAGCCCAAGGACACAAGACAGTTAAATGTAATGTTATAACCCAGATGCGACTCTGGAACAGAAAAAGAACATTAGGTAAAAACCAAGGAAATTTGAATGAAATATGGACTTTAGTTAATGTTTATGTATCAATATTTATTCATTCATTATAACAAATGTACTGTACTATTATAGGATGTTAATAATAGAGGGAACTCTATGTAGCAATATATGAGAACTCCATGCTCTGCAATTTTTCTGTAATCTTAAAATGCTTCTAAATAAAAGTTTATTTTAAAAATAATTTACAGCACAGGACAGAGGCAAATATTTGCAGTACCTATATTCAGGAAAGAACTCATAAAGAATATGTAAAGAACAGACCTGCATCCAGAATATATAATGAAAAAGACAACTTGCTGAGGAAAAATTGTCAATTTGAGTATTTCACACAGAGGATAATGGTGAACAATCATATAAAATGTGCTCAACATTATTATTCATCAAGAGAAAGTAAATTGAGACTATAATAACAAATCATCTCACAATCACCCACATGGATATAATTTTAAAAAACAGAAGGACAGAGTGTTGGTGGGGATGTACACATACTGGAAGTCATCATCACTGCTGTTGTCCCAATAGCATATCAGTACAACTACTTTGGAAAATTAATTATTACCTATTAATGCTAAACATCCTTGTGTTTTAAGATTAGTGTTATTCATAATAGTCCAAAAGTAGAAACAACCTAAATGCCATCAACAAATAAAATGGATAAATAACTTTCTGCATATCCACATCATGGGATATTATACAACAATGAAGATACTTTTTTTTTGCTACCTAAACATGTAAATGAATCTCACAGACATAAACAAAATGAGCCAGACACAAAAGAGTGCCTACCATATGATATCATTTATATAAAGTACAAAAAAATGGCAAAAAGAGTCTGTGATGACAGAAGTCAGATGAGTATCATTTAGGGAGAGGTAAATGAGTGGGAGAACAGGGGAGATTTCTGGGAAAATGGAATATTCTGTCTTGATCTGGGTAGTGAATATACATGTGTTTTTACTTTGGAAAAATTAGTGGGGTTCTGTACATTAGATTTGTATACTTTTCTCTATGCATGTCATACTTCAATAAAATAATTTACAGAAATAAGTACACTGAGATATTGTTTTTCTCCTATGTTTTGTCAAAATTCAAAAGTTGGACAATGTACTATGTTGGTGAGGCTGTGGAGAAAGGGGCCTTCCCAAGCAGTGCTGGTGGGAATGCTATATGTCTCAACCCCTTTGGAGGAGAATTTGTCACGATCTGTTGTGGGCTAAATTGTGCACCCCTACAAACACACCCCCAAATTCATTGGCTAAATCCCTAGCCCCTAGTACCCCAGAATGTTTGTATTTAGAGATAGGATCTTTCAAGAAGTGAACAGGTTGGGCCCTAATCCCATCTGACTGGTGTCCTTCTAAGAAGAGAAAATTTGAGAAACACTGGGGGATGTGCCCAAAGAGGAAAGACCATGGGAGAACATTGAGAGAAGGTAGCCATCTGCAAGCCAACGGGAGGCCTCAGAAGAAAACAAACCTGCAGACACCTTGATCCTGGACTTCCAGCCTCTAGAACTGTGAGAAGACACATTTCTGTTGTTTAAGCCCATCCAGTCTCTGGTATTTTGTTATGGCATCCCTAGTAAACTAATACACAAACAAAATTACAAGGATGTTCCAGAAGTGTTAGGGCAGTTAAAGTGTTGACAGTTTCAGAAGTATACATGCAAAAGATTACAAAATAATTTGAATGTTTATATTTCTTATATAACCACTTAGCATTGTAAAATTTAAATAATTTTTATTTACTTTTTAAGCCCTCCGAATAAGGTGAGCATTTACTTAAAATTTAAAATTAAAAATATTTATTTCAAACTCCTCAAAATTAAATAATTAAACTGGCAAATGGTATGGTTTTGTAAGTTTCTAACATTTCTATTGTTGACATTAAAGCTTAAAACATACTAAGCTTTCTGGGATGCTTTGTATATACATTTGCCCATTGACTCAGCAATCCCACTTCAAGATATCTATCCTAAGTTAGACTGGCAAAAATCTGAAAAGATAAATCTACAGGCCTTTTTATGTCCGTGACATTTGTTGTAAAGGAAACAGGAATAGAAGCTAGACATCTTTGAATTTACCTTGTGGGTACATTTTACTTTGAAGCCATGTAAATGTTTTACATATTTAAAAGTCCAAATTAAATTTCAAAAGAGCAATCCCTAAAAACTGAAAGTAACATAAAAACATACTGTGTATCCAGTTGATGTAATAATCATACTAAGAGGGACTAATCCAAATGACTTTAGTGCATAGTAATTTGACTGTATATGCCTTGTAGGATATACCTTTTTGAATGAAAAAAAAATAGTTTAACTCTTATGGTAATCATATTTAATTATATTTCCATGGTAGTATTGTTGTTTTTACCCTGACACTATTGTGTTGGATAAAGAAAATGGATAATTATGTACAATGAGAACTGGGAAATGGGGCATGGAAAAAAAGAAAATGCAGATACAGCATCAACAAAGTTAAGTTAAAACCTTGTCATTCTGAATTTGAATTGGAAATGTCCGTGCCAATTTATTATTTAATTTTAAATGTCCACTGAAAACCCCTGTTGGTGTAGGTATCTCATGGTTCTTCACATCTTATGAGCAGAGGAACTGACTGCCTTTTGTTCCCAGCTATCATTTCAAGGATATTTGTACAGAGAACAGCCTTGGAAGATAGACATGTTCTCCCTTCAGAGCAAAGGGCAGGCATGCTTATTGCCCATGAGAAAACATTCAGATTCCTAAAGTCAGGGTTCCTCTCCTGTTCCACACTTACTTCACGTGCAGGTATCACTGGCCTTCTTCGTAACACTTCTGGTAAATGAGGTTTGAGATACTGATGCAAAAATTCTCACTTTTGGCTACTTTCAGAGTAATAAATTGTTTATCTTTGGCCAGGAGTCTCCCATCTTCCACCAATATCTATGAAACTGTGGAAAGCTAACTTATTATTAATATCTTTCAGATGGGTAAAATATCAGACCTTTCATAATTCTTAAAAATATCTTAAGAAATGTGATAGCAAAGAATAACTCTAGTGCCCATCTTGTCGTCTCTAAATAACATTTCCACTAAAATAAATCAGGGATCCCTGGGGAAATGGTTTGTTTCAGGTATGGGGCTTGAAATGTATTAGAATGGTGTTGGAACATCTTGGTATCCTGGGGGGAGGAAAAAAGAGGTAAATAAAAACTACTAGGATCATGTCAAAAGGACCCCAGCGTCAATTTTGATAGACTCCCACTGGGACAGTTAGAACATCAATAGGGATACTAACCACAATAGATTAAAACACATGACATACATTTAAATCTATGGGTACATAATGATAAAGTTAAAAAATTCTCATTGATCTCCTTTGGAGTATTGCAAAAATATATATTTTGAAAATTGGTAAATAAAGTGAAAGAATCTCGCATTTTTGTGCTTTCCTCTATATGTACTATAGCTCAGTATAAGCAAATGGCTAATGAGAAGTTCCTCTTGATAGAACTGTTCTAGCTATTAAATGAATTTTCATATCACTATTTCACAGCCCTATTTTACACCTACTATGACACAAACATAAACAGTCAGACTTGAGATTCTTCCTGATACAAGTACACATCACCTATGAAGTAATTTTGCCAAAATAATTAAGCCTAACTCTGATGAAGCCTCTAGCTCTACCAATTTACAGAAAATACGGGACAGAAGAACATGACAAATGATAATGCAGGCATGCAAGCAGCAAATTTTATTGGACAAATACCCAGTTTATTAACAGCAACAACAAAAAGTAAGTTAAAAAGGAAGAAGGAACGGAAGGATGGGATGCTGACGCTGTATGTAACTTCAGCCCCCTTCCATAGTTGGGACCAGAATCCTAAAGTCACACATTTATGTCCTTGCCTTTGCCACAGGCCCCACCCAAACCTTTTGGGGTAACTGGCTATGTCCAATTCACAGGGCTATCCCTGCACTAGAACCCCCAAAGTTTGTATTCCTTTAACTCTGACTTTAGTGTAGGCAAAGGCCTCATCCTCTATTTCAGACCAGTCCCAATGGGCCCCCTTCTTAAGTAAGTGGTTTAGGGAACTCGAGGTGGGCAAATGGGGCATAGAGGGATGCCAATATCCTAGGAGGCCTAAAGGTTTGCAACTGCTTTGGAGTGGTAAGACGTGGGTAGGCCTGCACCCTATCCATAACAGCATACAAAATGACTTTATTCTTACCCAACCAGATGACACCCAAATATAATGTTTGACTAACAAGCCTGGACCCTGGACTTTCTCTGTGTTGACCTCCCAGCTTCTGTTTCCCAAGTAAGAAAGTAAAGAGGGAGCTGCAGTTTATAAGCTGGAAAAAGACTCAGAAATTAGCATGATATCATCAATGTAATGTAAAACATTGATTACCCCTCTCAGGTGGTCCATCAACTGAGGTCTGCAGCCACTAGGCCATGACAGATAGTGGGGCTGTGTAAATATCCCTATGTCAAGACAGAAAAGATCCATTGTTCTTTTTCCCAGGTGAATGCAAATTGGTCTTGACTCTCTGTGGCAATGGGGACATTGAAGATTGCTTTCACTAAGTCAGTAACAAAACGGTATGTGCCAAGCACCTCTCCTACCCTCATCAGAAGGAAGATGATATTGAGAATAGCTACATACATTAAGGGGAACATCTTATTTAATTACTGGTAATCTACCATCGTTCTCCATGTCCCATCAGGCTTCTGCATGAACCACACAGAGCCATTGTATAGGAAATGGTCTTATTCTGCCTACCCTGGCTAATTCCTTAACAACCCCATGATTTATTTCATCAAGCACCCCCAGCATTCATTATTGCTCCAGTGCTACTACTCACTGTGGGGCTGGCAACAGTACTGACAGACAGGACTAGCAGGATTTCCTAGGCCGACTAAGAATTCCTAAGCCTAGCTGGGAAAGGTGACCGCCACCCACTTTTAAACGCTGGGCTTGTAATTCAGCTCACACCTGACCAATCAGGTAGTAAAGAGAACTCACTAAAATACCAATTAGGCTAAAAGCAGGAGGTAAGGAAATAGTCAAATCATCTATCACCTGAGAGCACAGCGGGAGGGACAATGATTGGGATGTAAACCCAGGCATTCGAGCTGGATCGGGCAACCCCCTTTGGGTCCCCTCCCGTTGTATGGGAGCTCTGTTTCACTGTATTCAATCTTGCAACTGCACACTCTTCTGGTCCATGTTTCTTCCGGCTGGAGCTGAGCTTTCGCTTGCCGTCCACCACTGCTGATCACCCTTGTCCAGACCTGCCGCTGACTTCAACCCCTCTGGATCTGGCAGGGTGTCAGCTGCGTTTCTGATCCAGCAAGGCACCCATTGCCGCTCCTGATCGGGCTAGAGGCTCGCCATTGTTCCTGCATGGCTAAGTGCCTGGGTTCATCCCAATCGAGCTGAACACTAGTAGCTGGATTCCATGGTTCGCTTCCATGACCCACAGCTTCTAATAGAGCTATAACACTCACTGCATGGCCCAAGGTTCCATTCCTCAGAATTCGTGAGGCCAAGAACCCAGGTCAGAGAACAAAAGGCTTGCCGCCATCTTGGGAGTGGTCAGCCACCATCTTGGGAGTGGTCAGCCACCATCTTGGGAGATCTAAGAACAAAGACCCGCGGGTAACAGTACCAGTGGCCATTTTGCATTCCCCTGATCACAAGTTTCACCAGCCTCTGTTGAAGTTCCCCAGCAAGTTATCCGAGGGCTCAGGCCTGATAATAAATTCATTCCCAAGATATATTCCAGGATGGGAGCTATGTTTTCTAACCAGGATTTTGGTGGCAGTCTTCCGGCTTGAAATACTAGTCCAACCTGTCTGACTTTCATGCCCCACCTCCCCATAACTACCTTTTGCTGTTATAGACTCTTGGGACTAATGAACGTCACTATATATGACAGTGCATTTGGCTCCAGTGTCCACTAGGGCAAGCATAGTCTGTTTATTCCTTGGTAACCAATATCAATAAATAGTTAGCTCTACATGTAGCTTCTGATCCTGGCCACGCTGACCACCACTGCTCTTATGGGAATTCCAAGGCCTTGGCTTTTATCTTAGTCCAAAGGGGTTGGTACTGGCTGTCCATCAGCAGGAGAGGTGGTGGGTTTGTGAGAAACAAACTCACCCATCCAAACCCAAAGAATGGACTTGGAGACCCAGAGAACAGTGAAAGTGAGACTTTTAATGACAGTCTTACAAGATTGGGTGTTTGACATGCAGGCACACCCAGCACAGTTTTAACAACGAATTTATATTCCCTAGTGCACAGGTCCCTACCCCAGTTCCTTGTTAGCTGAGTACTATGGGGTTACAATCTTCCTGGACATTGCCTATTGGTAGTTGGATTAAGGTTTTAAGTATGTTCTTTAGGGTCTCTCTGCTGCATTTTATTGCAGCCCACCATGCATCGTGACTGTCTTAGGACTTTCCATATATTTGACTTCTGGCCATAGCGGCTGCACTTAGCTGATAAGAAAGGGTACAATTGGCCAGGTGCTGTGGCTCATACCTGTAATCCCAACACTTTGGGAGACCAAGGCAAGCAGATCACAAGGTCAGGAGTTCAAGACCAGCCTTGCCAACATGGTGAAATCTCGTCTCTACTAAAAATACAAAAATTAGCTGGGTGTGGTGGCAGGCACCTGCAATCCCAGCTACTCAGGAGGCTGAGGCAGGAGAATCTGAGGCAGAGGTTGCAGTGAGCCAAGATCGCGCCATTGCACTCCAGCCTGGGCGACAAGGTGAGACTCCATCTCAAAAAAAAAAAGAAAAAAGAAAAAAAAGAAAGGGTACAATTATTTATGTTGCAAGCTAGCCTAAACTAAATTCTTTGGTGGGGTGGGGAGAGGGTAGTTAAGAGGGACCTGACCGATAGACACCTGGCAGCTGTGTGAAAGGAAAGCAGGAAGGAGAAGGTGGGGTGGTGATGGCTCAGTACACTCTGCTTCTTTATTTTTATTTCCATGTAGCCTGCTTAAACCTACACTAAGGCACTTAGAATTGAAAATGGACCACCACATATAGATTATTTTCTACAGTTCCCTCCTCTTTTTCTTTTTACCCTCTCTGGTCTCATTTTTACTTAAATTACTTTGTTTTTTAAAGTGTTCTAGAAGTTGTTTACTTTCTTCTTCATAGGAGGATGAGTTTACTTTGGTTCCTAGTAATGGTAGAATGTTTTGTTGGGTTGGGTCATTAGGGGCATCTGCTTACTGATAGCTGTTTCAGTTAACCTTAGTGTTAAACCCCTCACACAAGGAATGATACAACATCCTATAGATGTTAAGACCCCCGCCACAATTATAAGAGATGTAAGAATTGAAGCTACCATTTATTTCCATTTCCAAACCAATTTTCTACCAATCAGTAAAACGGTCATCTATTCCTGCATTTGCTGCCAGCTCATTGGCCAGAGTTGTTAGTCCCTGTAGTGCCCTTGTAATAGTTCCATCTGGGGCAGTATTTTTGGGAATGAAAGTACATTTTTTGCCCAACATAACGCATACACTACCTTTCTCTGCTAATATCATGTCTAATGCAATTCTGTTTTCCCAAGCCATTTGGCTGGTGGCATCTAGTTGGCTGGCTATACCCTTAAGGGCATCTTGAGTATAACTGATAAAACTTTGTTGATTATAATATATGTAATCCATTTATTTTACATTTTTGTTAATAGTGGACCACCAGAAAAGTGCTGACTCAAATCCAGCAGCTATTTGGTTTTAAGCCTTAAATTTATTAGGCACTCCTATGGATTCATTCTGAAATATAAAGAGGTGAAATATGTCTGGAATTTTTTTCAAAGTAATCCCACATTGGAAGAGGAATAAAGACAGAGAGCAAGCTGTGATAATTGGTCATGGGTATATGTGGCTTTATTATGTAATTCTCTACTTTTGTGATTGTTTTGTATTTTTCACACTGAAGAGTTTTTAAAAACAGGAGTAAATTTTTTTCAATGAAAATAATGATGATGAAATAAACAAAAATGAATACCTAAGGGGAAATACACACTGAAGTATGGATTTCTCAAGTATTCAACTCTACATCTACAATAGACAAAACTTCCCCATTTTTAGATGATGCTAAACACAGTCCACTGAAATGAATTAGTCTCTTTAACAGTTTGCTTGCAGCATTTAATTTTATATATTAAAAAAACCTGCTGATGTGAAACACTGCTCCAGCATAATTCATTTTACAATTACCCAGGAGCACTTCATAGCCCAAGCTAGTCTAAATTCATAGGAATAAGTTACCCAAGGAATTAATTACCATTCAGTTTATTACTCCTCATATCATCTAAGCTTCTGAAGAAACTGGTTACCTGGAAAATTATGTATTTTTTGAATACTTGTCAAATTTAATTTGGTTGAATTGTAAGGCAAAATTAACAAGCATTTTCCTATTTCTTGTGCCTAAAGAGCCACAGGTGTGTCTTCTACAGGACAGTTGATTGTAACGTGTCAGAGTAATCCTACCCTCTCCAGCTGTGCAGTCAAGGCTACCAAAATTTAACATCTCGAAGGACATAGCTGCAAAAATATCTACTGAACTTAGCAGCTATCAACAGCTAATTGCCTGGTGGCATACCTGGTTTTCTAACATCACAGCAATTGATTTGAGATTTGGACTGGTGCTTGATGTATTGCATCAAAGGTATATGCATTCTTAAAAAGTAAAACCCGTATTAATGCAAAATCAAAGTCTTTTTTCATTCGCTTTCTTTCTCAGTTTGATAGGAATAAATTTGGCTGTCCCAACACCCAGAAAATGATTTCAGAAGTCTCAAAAGTTACCTTTGTGTTTTATTTCAAAGTGTAAGTACTGATATTTAAATACTATCTTCTGATTTCCCATTAATTATGCCTCATCCAAGCTTTGCTCTCCCTATGGCTGCCAGGCTGAGTAAATAAAAATATAGGACACCCAGTAAACTTGAACTTTAGATAAACAATGAATGGTTTTTCTTTGTTTGGTTTGGTTTGGTTTGGTTTGGTTTGGTTTGGTTTGGCTTTGAGTATAGGTATGTCCTTGGCTATTTAGTGTAAGTGTGTCTCATGCAATAATTGGGGGTGTTAACCTCCTGACACACTTATACTAAAAAAAAAATTGCTAATTATCTGACATTCGATTTTAATTGGGTGTCCTGAATTTTATCTGGATACCCTAGCCCTCCCCAACATCAGCATTAGAGACACTGCTTCTGAAGCTTACAAAAGAGCTGAGCCTTTTTACATCATTTCAGTTACTTCTATTTTTGCCAAATGGAAAACTGCAATATTCTCATGCAATGTCTCAAGGGGATTGTTGTTAAGAGATACTCAGCTACACACATTCTCCAACATCAAGCTCAAGAACAAATTTTCACCTGAAAAGCAAAATCAACAGACAGAACAGCTTAGTTGATGTTATAAGTAGATTTATTTGGGAAGAAAGTCATTGGGAAACTTGACATCCTATTTCAAAGTGTGTCACTAACTTTTCTCTGTGACTTGTAGTAACCACAATCTTGCTGAAAAAAAATCAAAGTAACCTTTACTAGAGAATTGCTTCTCAAACTTTAAAAATATGCAAATCACTTTAAGATCTTGTTAAAATGCAGATTCTGGTTAAGCAGGAATGAATTCTGCATTTTAAACAAGCTCCCAGGTGATTCCAACACTGCTGTGGTCCATATACCACTCTTTGATAAGCAAGGAACTGGAGTAAAGCAATCCATATTAGTGAATCTGTGCAAGGTTTGATACCAAGAAAAGTTGTTGAATGTCAAGGACTCAAGTCTCAGAAGAGCCTTGAGAATCAGGTAAGTGAATTATGCTTAAACTGGGAATATAGCCAAAATTTGATTAAGCACTGACTGAGAATATACCGAAACTGTTTCTAATTGTACATAACCTTTGCCTGAAATAAGTAATAAAAACCTAGGTCAAAATATTGGTATTTATAGAAAACAGTTTTGAGGCCAGGGGCGGTGGCTCACGCCTGTAATCCCAGCACTTTGGGAGGCCAAGGCGCGAGGATCACGAGGTCAGGAGATCGAGACCATCCTGGCTAACACGGTGAAACCTCGTCTCTACTAAAAAAATACAAAAAATTAGCCGGGCGTGGTGACGGGCACCTGTAGTCCCAGCTACTCCGGAGGCTGAGGCAGGAGAATGGCGTGAACCTGGGAGGCGGAGCTTGCAGTGAGCCTAGATTACCCCACTGCACTCCAGCCTGGGCGTCACAGAGTGAGACTCCATCTCAAAAAAAAAAAATGGTTTTGAAGCAGCATTGTCGTCTGGGGTAAATACCTGAGGAGTACATGGACACAAGAAGTGGGTTTAGGAGCGGAGGTTTAACAGGCAAAAGAAAGAGAAAGGAGAACACCTCTCTCTCTTGCAAAAGAAAGGGGTGCCCAAATGGGAATTCAAGCCTGCAACAGAGTTCACAGGATTTTGTAGACAGGCTTGAGGAGGCAGTGTCTGATTTACATAGGGCCCAAAGATTGGTTGGACCAGGTGTGATATTTACATAATGCACAGGGAAGCTGGCTGCCCCCACCCTAATCTTATTATGCAAATGCCTGGCTGGTGCCATGTTGCCTGCTCCTTACTGTACACGTGGCTGGCAAAGAGAAGGAAAGATGAAACTGCCATTTTGAGCATGCCTAGTCCCAGGTGGCCTTTTCCTATTGACACAACTGCCGGCATCCACCCAGGCAAGCTTCCAACTTGCTTGTCTATGTTTGCAGCTAAATTTTACAGGCTGCTTTTTGTTAGAAAAGAAAATATTTTGGGGGCTGCTTTTTACTAAAATAAAACTTTACCGAGAACTCCCAAACCCTCACTATCTGCCCAAATAATTTCTTCTTAACTCCTATATCAGTTTGAAAGCCAAGTAACCCACACACTTATCTCAGACTATGGATCAGGAGCCCGTGTCTTGAGGCCCATTGTGCCTGAATGGTCTCCAAATAGATTTTTGGAGAAGCTCAAGAATCTCCTGACCCTTTACACACAATTGGACGCTAATAATAAGATAGAATAAGAGTGAAACGTGTCTCCTCCTTCACATTGTTTTTCCTTCTTTTCACAAAACCCACACTACTACCTAACTGACACTATACCTGCTGATCCTGAGGCTCTAGTTACACAAAGAAAATAGTCCTTTTTCTATGCTTTCATAATGTTTAGCTATGCCTTTTACTTAAAGAATTCCAGAAACTGGCCTTAGGAGATCCAAATATTGAAGCAAGGTTTCAGGGTCCCACCTCGGGAAGGAATGCTGCAATTGATTTACAGCCTTATTGCTTCTGGTCAGACCACCAGGTGGCCCATTACTCAAGAAAACCATTGCAGCCAAGCCGGCACACCTTACTCCTGATGTCAATTCCCTCACTTTGCCTAATGAAAAATTCCTATTGGTTCTTTTTGGACAGCCAGCCAAAAAAAATCCTTGTACCTCTGCTGTCTCCCTTGTGCTTGAGCACAAGCCCCACAATAAAGCCTTGTCTGGGAAATCCAGTTGGCCCTGCATTAATTTCCATTACATGGGGAGCCTAACAGCCTGTGGTCTGTAACAATAATGCAGGGCTGATTTTTAAAATATTTAACAACCAGTATGGCTCAGATATCATCCAGTCAGAATGTATGCCTGATCGGTCTAATCAACTGACAGCCATTATGCAAACATGATGTGCCCCAGCTAAAATATCATGAGCCTGTTTCCTCCAGAGTTTCTTTAACTTTCATCAGATTCTCAAAGGAGTCAGTGACCCAGAAAATGTCCTGGACCATTGTCAATGGATCATATCAGACAATGGAAACCCATGCACTTCAGTAACTAAACATATTTAGTGATTGATAAGTGTTATCATTGTTTGGTTATGAGTATTATTTTTTCAAAATTGCTTTCCATGAGTTAAACTTTAGAGTTAAGATATCAAATTGTACTGAGAATTGACAAGAAAGAGTCTCACGAAATCAGTTATTGGATTTTCCTAAAGACCATAGCTATTAAATCTCACTGTTTGGCCTACATAAAACAGTTATAGATCAATTCACTGACAGTCAATTCAAGAAATGTCTAATTTGCAAGATAACTTGCTTGTTTAACTGTTTAGCTTTCATTTACCAGGTTTTATTTCATGTTTGTTTACAAAATTACTATAAGAAATATTTCTATTGTCTTCAGCTTAGTTCCCACTGTTGTAGAGGATTTGAGGATCAGAGAGTGGAAACACTCAAGTTTGGAGGGAGGAAGACTGAGGAACAAGGAGAGGGGAGAATGTAGGGCATACAAATACATCCTTGGAACTGCAAAGCTACTTTAAAAAAACATAGGGGGAAATCTCTATGGCATTGGTCTTAGCGATGACTTTTTTTTTTTTAACATGGCCCCAAAAACACAGGAAACAAAAGCAAAAGTAGACAAATGAGATTATATCAAATTTAAAAGTCTCTGCACAGCAAATGAAACAACCAACAAAATGAAAAGACAACATATGGAATGGGAGAAAATATTTGCAAACCATACATCTGATAAGAGGTAACTATGCAAAATATATAAGAAGTTCAAACATATCAATAGAAAGAAAACAATATTATTGAAAAATGAGCAAACTTGAATAGACATTTCTCCAAAGAAGACAAACAAATGCCAAGAATTATATGAAAAAACACTCAACATCAGTAATCATCAGGGAAATGCAAATTAAAACCACAATGAGATATTACCTCATATCTGTTAGAATGACTATCATCAAAAAGACAAAAGATGGTAAATGTTGAGAAAATAAAGGGCTTCCCTTTACTTCACATCTTAGTACAGCCGTTATGGAAAGCAAACAGAAGGGAGTTTACTCAAAAAAACTGAAAATAAAACTGTCACATGATCCAGAACTTCCACTGCCAGACGTATATCCAAAAGAAATGAAATTGTATGCTGAAGAGAAATCTGTATTTTCGTGTTTATTGTAGCACTATTCATAACAGTCAAGGCATGGAATCAACCTAAATGTCCAACAATGGATAAATGGATAAAGGAAATGTGGTAGATAGATACAGTGGAATACTATTCATCCATTAAAAAGAATGAAATCCTGTCATTTGTGACAACATGGATGAACCTGGAGGACATTATGATAAGTGAAATAAGCCAGGCACAGAAAGATAAATAGCATATGATCTCACTTATATGAGGAATCTAAAAAAGTTGAACTTACAGAAGCAAAGAGTGGAATGATAGTTACCAGGGGTTGGAGTTGAGGGGAGGAACTGAGGAGATATTGGTCAAACATACAATATTTCATTTAGACAGAAGGAATAAATTCAAAGAGATATATTGCGCAACATGGTGACTATAGTTAACAGCAATGTATTGTATACTTGAAAATTGCTGAGAGTAGATTTTAAGTATTCTCACCACAAATAAACGATAAAAGTATGTAAGGTAAGGCATGTTACTGGGAAGTGCAGGGATCCTCAGTTCTTTGTCTTATTTGGAGAAAGCATTCTGCCAAGCAACTGATTTAGCCAAAAAGAGAATTTACTGAAGCAAAATAGAGAGCAGAGAGTTACTTACAGAGACAGTACATTCTGCAAAGATGAAGCAGAGTGGGCAAATGAAGGAGGTAAGCCAGCAGCAGCTCGAGAGTTCTGCCTTGGATTTTTATTGTGTTGGACTCTTTCTTGAAGTTTCTGCCTCTGTCTCAAGTCTCTACCTTTTTTTCTTGTCTAGGTTTCCCACGCCTGTCTTAAGTCCCTGCCTTGTCTCCACCTAGCTCTTATCCCAGGTTTGTGGGACCCTCCTTTATTGTCAGTTGGTGTGCATGTATGTGCCCCGTGCTGGATACAAATCCTGCCCGATGGCAGCCCTGCTCATTACCACCAACTCAGGAAGGTTGTATTGCAGCCAAGTCTGTATCTATTGTGCCTGCATCTTTCTTTGGAATTTCTTTTTCTGCCCTAGTCTGTACTTATGACACCAGGTTTTTCTTAGGAATGTCACCCTTTGCCCTTCTTATTAGCATGTAGCTAGCGATTTTTTTTTTTTTTTTTTTTTTTTTTTTTTTTTTTTTTTTTTTTTGGCGGAGTCTCGCTCTGTCACTGGGCTGGAGTACAATGGCGCAATCTCGGCTCACTGCAATCTCCACCTCCCGGGTTCAAGCAATTATCCCACCTCAGCCTCCAGAGTAGCTGGGACTACAGGCGTGCGCCACCACACCCCACTAACTTTTTTTGTATTTTTAGTAGAGACAGGGTTTCACCATGTTGGCCAGGATGGTCTCGATCTCTTGACCTCGTGATCTGCCTGCCTCACCCTCCCAAAGTGCAGGGATTACAGGCGTGAGCCACCGTGCCCAGCCTGTAGCTAGCAATATTCTAACATTTTAACTGCTGAGGAATGATTATTGGGGCATCTTAAGAGGCGTCCCTTTCTGCATAGGTACCTCCTCTCCTTCCTACTCACATTTGACTAAGAGCCCATACACTCTAGAATTAGAGAAGCTACTAGTGTGCGAATTCTGGGTGGTCCCTCAGGCATTAGCCTTCCCAGACTCTTCCCTTCTCAGGGGCTCCTTTCTCCTGCCCATGTCTGGATATCTGCCTACTCTAACACATGTGTTAATTAACTTCATTTAGCCATTCCACAGTGTACACATATTTCAAAACATCATGTTGTATACCAAAAATACAAATTTTATTTGTCTATTACAAATAATTTTTTAAAGAATATGTTCTTGGAATATATTCTTTAAAGTGTTCTTAGAAACATTAATGTTTAAATGTTACATTTAAACATTAACTGTTTAAATGTTCTTTAAAAATGTTCTCAGAAAATGTTGCAGAACACTTATGAATATACCATTTCATTCATTCCTAAGACTGCCTCATGGTCAAAAATGCATTTAAGACTCTATTCGGCTGGGCACAGTGGCTCACACTTGTAAACTCAGCATTTTGGGAAGCCGAGGCTGGCGGATCACCTAAGGTCAGGAGTTCGAGACCAGCCTGGCCAACATGATGAAACCCCCGTCTCTACTAAAAATACAAAAATTAGCCGGGTGTGGTGATGGGCACCTGTAATCCCAGCTACTTGGGAGGCTGAGGCAGGAGAATCGCTTGAACCCAGGTGGCGGAGGTTGCAGTAAGCTGAGATCATGCCTCTGTACTCCAGCCTGGGCGACAAGAACAAAATTTTGTCTCAAAAAAAAAAAAAAGACTATATTCAAGAATACACTGGCCACTTGACAAATTGACTTCCAATAAACTGGCTTACCTTCTGTGAGCATGTGTAAGAAACACCCTTCAGAGTTAAATTGTATGGTAACATTTATTTCTCTTTAGGACCAGTTATACTATATCCTAATGGGAAATAAGACCTCTATAACAGATTATGTTTACCCTTTTACTTCTGTTACCAGAAAGTTTAGAGCCAAATTTGTGACTCAATTATTGTATCTCATTAGGAGGTATTGATCTTTATACTCGTATTCTATTTCCTTCTTTGAATTACACTTTTTGGTCTTACTTCAAAGCACTGTTGTAGTTTAAAACTCTTTGACTGAAAATTATAGAAGACCACTTCAAATTTTGAATGTCTCTTCAATTTGCTTACAATATCAGAAGAGTGAACAGGGACACTCTTACTATATGAAGATAACATATTACATGGAATTCCGAAAATGTTGCAAAACCTTTCATATTATTACCTTTGCAGACACTTATCCAGAACATACCTCAAAAGGGTATGTATCACTGGTCTTGCTTTTGATTTTTTTTTAATCCCTTCTTTTCTGTCTCTCTGTCCTCTTCCCCATCTCCACAACCTGGCTCTACATCCTAAAAGAGAGCCACAAAGTCTTCATCATGTTCCAGACCCAGACTAGAAATGCAGCTGATGGAACCGTGATTTTTGTCTCTCCTATCAATCAAAGGGGGCCCTTGAATCTCTCCAAGTTTTGAGAAGAAGCATCTACAAGTCAAATTTCTCTTGCTAATGTTGACCTTCTTTTCAATGCATAACTATTGCATCATTTTGTAAACAAGGTTTTCAGCTCTATTTTCTGTCATACTAAAACTCTTCTAGAGATTGGATGAAGAAGGGGGAGGAAAGAAAACCCCATCCTGCCACATGTGTCAAAAATGTAATTTGTTAGACATATTCCAAAGTATTCCATGTAAACCCAGGAATTGTAGGAACTTGGACATACAGTCTCTCACTCTGTGTGGTTGTACCAGCTTTTCCATATTGGCTCCACATTTGAAATATAGTATATCTTTAATCTGACTACTTCTCACCACCTTCTTCATAAGCATCCTAATAGGAGACACCATCATCCCTAGACCAAAAGCCCATGATAGCCTTCTTCCTAGTTTCCCTGCTTCTACTGCTCCCCACCCCTCTCCCCCACCCCCCATCCACTTCATGGTCAATTCTCCATAAGAGAAACCAGAGTGGTCCTTTTAACATAAATCTGATCATGTTTAAAAGGTGCATAAAACTTGTACTTGCACTTCTGGGAAAATGCAGTAAACAAATTTTTTTCCTATTCCCCTACTAAGTACAACTAAAATCCCTGTATGTTATATATATTAAAACTTAAGACTGCAAAAGATGGAGAGAAGAAGGTAGAAAGGTTAGGGGCCTTGATTTGAAAAATGAATTAGTGGTAAGTTCCCTGGATTTTCCTTTTGCCTCATATATCCTAGACTTGGTGCTGAAGAAGCCGGTAACTCAGAAATGCCGTAAGCTGCAAACCAAAAAAAAAAAAAAAAGGAGCCTGCTTCAAATAGCCAGTCTAGGAAGACAGAAAACTTTCAGACAATAACTGTTCTACTTCAGGCAAGCACCACAGGTTAAACATGTATATATTTATATCTCCCTACCTCTACTCACTCAGCAAGAACAAAATGGGAGCCGGGACTTCTACCCTCAAAAGGCTATCAACAAGACTTCTCAACAGTCCTACTAAGATTTTATAGAGAAGGCCTACTAGGGAGCTAGAACTTTTATCCTCATCATCTGGTAACAACCCCCATTTCATGGTATCCATGGAGAACACTTAGCAGCTTGGATTCCACTGCCTCCCAGCAGTAATGAGGGTTCATCCCTCCCTTCTGGGAGGTATCCTTGCTGGGGGGTGTCACAGGAGGCTTGTAGGAGAGTCAGGAACTTCAGCATTGCCCACTGATAGTGCAGCCAATGCCAACATGGCATCAGTGGGAATTACGTGGAGGCTGGAACTCTTACCCTTGTCCAACACTAATGAGGAGCTCCTGCTTCAGGTGTCAGTGGAGACTGAATGGGATACCTGGACTTGTGATCACATTTGGTGACAGCATTCTCCTCCATTCCCCCACCACCCACTTCCTCTGCCATAGCAGCATCAAAGAAAGCCAGCTCAAATGAGATTGAGAGTCTCATAACTTACTACGAAAATGTCCCAGTTTCAATGAAAACTCACTTGTAACAACAAAGAGAAAGATCTCTAGAAGACGTAAAGAATAACCAAATAGAAATTTTAGAAATGGAAAATATAATAACCAAAATAAAAAGTTCAGAGAATGAGCACAACAGCAGAACGGAGGGGAGAGAGGAAAGAATCAATGAGCTAGAGGATACAAGAATAAAAATCGCTCAACATGAAAAACAAATAGAAGACATAAAAAAAAATAAGTAAACTGGACCAGGCGCGGTGGCTCACGCCTGTAATCCCAGCACTATGGGAGGCCGTGGTGGGCGGATCACGAGGTCAGGAGATAGAGACCATCCTGGCTAACACGGTGAAACCCCGTCTCTACTAAAAATACAAAAAATTAGCCGGGCATGGTGGCGGGTGCCTGCAGTCCCGGCTATTTGGGAGGCTGAGACTGGAAAATGGCCTGAACCTAGAAGACGGAGCTTGCAGTGAGCCGAGATCGCGCCACTGCACTCCAGCCTGGGCGACAGAGCGAGACTCCATCTCAAAAAAAAATAAAAAATAAATAAGTAAACTGATCCTCAAAGAACTGTGTGACTATTGCACAAATAAAAGATTTAAAGATAAAAGCTCTAACATTTGTGTCATCAGAGTCCTGGAGAAAGTAACGAAAGACGGGGCTAAAAAAACTACTCAAACAAATAATGGCTGAAACCCTCTTAAAGTTGGCAAGGGACATTAACCTACAGATTCAAGCTGAGAAAATTCTAAAAGAATAAATCCAAAGAAATCCATACCAAAACACATCAAAATTAAACTTCTGAAAACTAAATATGAAGAAAAACATCCTGAAAGCAGCCAGAGAATAATAACACCTTACTTACAGGAGAAAAAAAATTTGAATCAATGACAGATTTCTCATCAGTAACCATGAAGACCACTCGGAAGTGACACATTTTTCAAGTGCTGAAAGAAAAGACATTTCAACCCAAAATTCTACATTCAGTAAAAATGTCTAGTTAGAAATAGACTCCTGAGTTCTGTCCTGGACTAAGCAAACTTACTGAATGACAGAGAAACATATCTCTATTAACACAATTCTTGGCACATAATGAGGCACATCTTTAAATCTGATGATGAATTAATTTTCCTAGGGCATCAGAACTTTTTTTTTATTATACTTTAAGTTCTGGGGTACAGCATCAGAACTTTTTACCATTTTATCTTTAAAATAACTTTAAAAAGATATACATTGGTAATATGTATATCTTGCTGGAAGCAGGGCGACATAATATAAGTCAAAATTTTGTAAAGATATGTGGTGATAGTTTGTCTTGAAGAGGAAATATTTAAAAGTCCATTGTTGCTCATAATTAAACAGGGTGTTTGGTCCTCTTAGCAAACAACACAAGCAAATTTCAATATAATCAGTTCAGGTCTTTGATTCAGCAACATTTTGATGACCAGTAGTTGAAGCCAAAATATCTTGGCATAGAACACTAAGATAATCAAAAGACATCAATGTCAACTATACAATCCAAGGATTCTCCATATTGTATTCAACTTTTGAGAATTCCTTTAATTCCAGGAATATGACAACTCCAACCTGTAGATCTGTACTTTAGAACTATCTTCAGGGTTTTCCTTGTGCAAAATTAAATAGGCAATGTTAAACTGGCTAGTTGCTCACCAACCGCTTTTTTTTTTCTTGGGCACTCAACTAGACTACATTTCCCAGCCTCTCTATCCATTATGCATGCCATGTGACTGGGTTCTAGCCAACAGAATGTGAGAAAATGTGATGTGTGACACTTCTAGTCCAGAATCATAAAAGCCCTCACACTTGACCCTCCAGGTTCTTGCCCCTCCCCTGGCTTGATGGAGAGGAACTTAGAGGCCACACATTAAAGGTGGTAGACCACACAATTCAAGGAGTCTAGGTTCCTGAACTATAGCTTAGGAAGACAGCTGCTTGCCAATCAGAAATACTTGTTTTGGACTTCCTGTGAGCAAGAAATAAGTTTTCTTAGGATTAAGCAACTGAAATGTATGGATTTATCTGTTGTAGCAACAGGTAATACGTTAATTAATGCAGTAGGTTTTGTCACCCATAACTGCCTCCCAAAGCCCCACTCCCTACCCACCACTTTATTTCCTCTCTTCAATGACTTCTTTCTTCCCTTTATTCCCACACACATTTCACCATACAGTCTCTAGATCCTGGGCCTAGGGCAGGCTTGAGGGCAATGCCCCATCAGTCCCTACAGAGAGCTATCCTTTTTCAGCTTTGCACACAAGGCACCATTTAGAAGGAAGAGGACTGATTGAGTCCTTGCTGAGGGAGAATGTGAGCCCAGCCTGAACTCCTGGGAAGCAAAAAGTGGAGCAGAAATGGAAAGGGTGATGACCCACGTTCTCATTTGCTCACTGAGGGCTGGAGGCCGATCTGCAGACATTTGTGGCTGCAGTACAAGCTCTGCAGGGAGAGGCTTGCCAAATCATCCAAGAAAAGAAAAACCTCACTCCTGTGGCTCAGATCTGCTTCTTAAGGTGAGGTTTTGTGGTTATCTCTGCCCAGGGCTTGTGATTACTGCAATTTCTTTGTTCTTTTCTTTCCAGGAACCATCTGGCTCACCTCCTTTTTGTGAACCTATGAAAAGAAAAATCACAAAAGAAACAAACAAACAAATGAGAAAACACACCTCTTTGCTACAGGGTAACCTAGTCAACCTTTAAATTAAAAAGCCACGAGTTTCCAACGATCTGCCTCTGACTATTCTGCATGCTGCCTGACTCCCTGCTGATAGCAGTGATTCAGAAACTTCATCTTAAGAAAGAAGGGCCTGGAACCAAAAGCAGCAAGGGATACAGAGAAAACACAGCAGACCATGAAAAGAAGTTGAGATAGAAAAAGAGGAAAGATGCAGGCTTACTTGTGTCACCCATGGAGATGCAGGAAGAGAAACCAGCTTTGAGGTGATGTGACTGTTTTTAGTTGTTTGTCAGTAAATAGCAGACATCAGCTTGAATGCAGTTGTTCAGTCATAGTTTTGATAAAAAGGATGATGTGTGCTTCTTTAAAGAGTAGCTGTTACACAGTAGGTGCTCAACAGATTATAAATGAAGGAATATAAAAAAGAAACCAGGGTAATATTTTAACAAACAAAAAAACAGAATATGGCTACTGATCATATGACTTCAAGATTTTCTTTAAATTCTTGGAAGAGGGAGGCCAGTAATATCTTTTTATATAAAGAAATCTCATTAAGCCATGTTCAATATAGGCAAATTAATTTTAGTGCCATTTAGTTCATTAATCAGAGGTTGGGCTGGCATAGAAGGTGATTCAAAATTCATAATTAAAGCAGATCTGGCCAGTTACCATGTAGACTGAATAATCTTCCTTTCCTCATATAACTAAAATAAAAACGCTTTTGGTCTAGTTTCTAACATTTTCTCTTTGGTGCTTTGATTGGGACCTAGTATTGTTTCTCCTGTTCTGTCTTATAGTTTCTTACCTGGCCTCAACCACTTGGAATATAAACCACCTTCAATCTAAAAGAAAAAAAAAAATACAACTTTGACCAGTCAAGGGACAAGAGCCTCACTTTTGAAGAAACAGCGCAGTGTTCCAGTCCATGTCCAATCTACGTCACAGGTGATGCACTAGTACCAGAATTAGCATTACAAACAAAAGAAAAGGTAGGCTTAGGCAAATCCAAAGCAGATGGCTTCTGCCATGTTTGTCAACTGAGAAGGACCACTGAAAGATGAATCATTAGTTCTGGATACTAGTGCTGCATCTCATGCTAATTTAAATAGTTGTGTGGCCTTGGGTTAGTTAGGTCTCTGGGCCTCAATTCTTCATCTGTTTCTAGGTGTAAAAAGTCCCTTCCAGTGAAAAGAGCTGACTCAACCCAATTTGGAGTTTCCGAATCTTTGCCTAAAATAGTAATATTGATTCAAGCCTTGACATATGAAGCATTTAATTTGCTTGCTCAGGATACCCAAAACCAGATTTGGAGCTTCCAGAGTATAACGAGTCATTAAGAGAGATTTTTAAAAAACATACAATGGAGGAGGCAAGCATGCACATTCTCTCTGCATTGTGATTGTCTAAACTGACAACATTGGAAAAGTCATATTAAATATTTTTATGTTAGTTCCTTTAATCAAATAATATAGCACTCCAGTTTGCTTTCTCCCTTGCCTGTCCGTTCTCCCTTATATAATTACTTGTGACTAAATTTTACCTTTCTCACTATGGAGGAGACCAAAAATGATTTGGATAAGAGTTTGCCTT
This sequence comes from Homo sapiens, assembly GCF_000001405.40. NCBI lineage: Eukaryota > Metazoa > Chordata > Mammalia > Primates > Hominidae > Homo > Homo sapiens. The sequence continues at coordinate 69,633,515 of NC_000006.12, forward strand.
TAAGATGCTTAAAGTTAAGAAGATTATATATATATATATATATATATATATATATATATATATATGCATCTTATATATGTATCTTATATATACATGTAAGACCATATATATATAGTATATGTATTGTGTGAATATATATACACATTATACTTTTATATATGTAAGTATTTTTCATCTAGTAAATACATATACACACATATGTATACACACACACCAGGTAAATACATAAAGGTAAGAATAAACCAGCATGTGCCAGGTAAATACAAATATATATATACACACACATATATATAGTGTGTGTGTGTGTGTGTTTCCAGGTAAAGATAAAGTGCTTGTGGCAGAAGAAAAGAGAGTCAAAGTGGTTTTTATAGAGAAAATGGCTTTTAGCGGGATAATGGGGGATGAATTTTTTTCCATCTGTGGAGATATGGGAGAAACAATATTTATGATGAAGTACTGGGACTTACATTGACTTTATAAGAGCTTTGTTTTGTAGTGAGTGAGGAGTCACAGGTAACTTTTAAGCAGGGCAAGTAGCAAGCTTAGGGCCATGTTTTCAGATCTTAATCTATCAGCACTACACAGGGTAAGAGTAGGAAGAGATTAGAGACAAGGAAAGCAAGTAGGAAGTTATTGCCAGGTGAGGGGTGGAAAAGGTTGTAGATTAGCCCAGTGACTAGCAATGCAGATGGAAAGGCAGATAGGAGGACAGACTCAACAGCATTTGGCCTCTGTTTAATCCTAGAGGAAAAGTGAATAAACTTACAAGGATGATGGAGTCACTATTGGCCCTAAGGAGGAAGGTTAGGTTTAGAAGGCAACATGGTGAGATCTCATCAGGGCTAGCATATTAGCACAATTGATCGAAGGCACAGAGCCACTCAGAGTGACACAGAGCTGAGCACTTCCACGCCCCCTCCCCATTTGCTAGTATATTACAACATGGACAAATATCAAAACAGAACATAGTTTAAAGTTATATGATATATTAATGCTTTTCATAAACACAAACACAAAATCACATTGACTATTTGTACAGCCTTGGAGATAATGTCAGAAAAGTCTAGATTTGTAGACCTTTTTGAAAAGGAAGCCCATAGTCAATTTTGTAAGCGGCTAAGAATGAAAGCCAGTATGTGATAGAGATTAGGGCTATGAGAACCAACAAGGAATCAAAGCAAGAGAGAATGTTGTCTGATGACTTGGCAAATAAATACTAATATGTTACTTTAGTGGTTGTACTGTAAGTGTTTAAAATAACTGGGAATAGGTTTAAGATAAATTGATATTATTGTTAAATGTTTCATAACTTATTTTTAAATGTATTTGTTTTATCTGTAAATTACTTTCTTTTATTGGAATATGTATGTTTATGTTGTATATAAAACACTTACTTGAGAAGCATCTTCTAAAGACTTTTACACAAGATAATAATCCCACAAATGCATGACATAAAATAAGAAATGTTATTGTCGGCCGGGCTCGGTGGCTCACGCATGTAATCCCAGCACTTTGGGAGGCCGAGGCGGGCGGATCACGAGGTCAGGAGATGGAGACCATCTTGGCTAACACAGTGAAACCCCGTCTCTACTAAAAATAGAAAAAATTAGCCGGGCGCGGTGGCGGGCACCTGTAGTCCCAGCTACTTGGGAGGCTGAGGCAGGAGAATGGCGGAACCCGGGAGGCGGAGCTTGCAGTGAGCCGAGATCGCGCCCCTGCACTCCAGCCTGGGCGACAGAGCGAAACTCTGTCTCAAAAAAAAAAAAAAGGAAATGCTATTGTCAAATGCAGTAGAGACATACTGCAAATTATACATCAGTCTACTGAAAGTTCATAGTGCCCATTGGATATCAAGGATCCTGAAAATTCTACCATTTTTCAAGCTGATGCTGTGTGGGGCTCATGCTCAGCCCCTTATCTCATCTCATCCCCAGAACAATCTAATGCCACAGGTGAAAACTATCTCTATCTTTCAGATTAGGAAATTGAGGCTTAGAGAAGTCAAGCAAATTGCCCAGGTTCCAAGGTCATTAAATTGACGTGAAATCTTTTTTCTCTGAACAAATTCAAAAGGCAGACACTTTGGGAAATGTTACCCTGAGCAGACTGGTTTTCTTAACCCAAAATCACTTACTCCTACTTCTCTGTGCTGATTCTCATCCCAGATAGGAGGAAGTGCTTTTTCTTCTTCTCCTCCTCCTCCTTCTCCTCGTTGTCTTCCTCCTCTTCCTCTTTCTCCTTCTTGTTTCCTTTCCTTTTCTTTTGGTAGTAGGCATTAGGAAGGTCATAATGCGAAGAAGACACTAACTACTTCCTTAAATCTTTAAATACCTAAATCCTAAAAAGGTGATGCAAATGTCAACTTGAATTTCCTCTTCTCTATTAACACACTCTAGGTTTAGACTATTTCTGACTAACTGTATACAGGCTCACCACTTTCGATGCACCCCAGTTCAACAATTAGAATAAAAAGATGCATTAAAAGGGCCCATGCTTGCATTTTTCTAGCAAACTGAACACATAAAAATAATTGTGCCTGCTGGAAATGACCAGACCCTATGTTCAAAGAGGAAGATTAATGAATTCTCACTTTATAGGAAAAGTATAGGAAGTCCAAGCAAGACTACCCAAATCCACACTTTAATTTGCAGACAACTAATTAGATAACAATAAAAAGTGTCCTAAGTCCCCACTCTAAAGCCCAGCTGAAACTACCAGCTAGCAAATGATTCTAATTATTCTAGAGAAAAGAGTAGATGTTTGTGTATGTGCTCATAGCAGAACAGGAAATAAGCCCCTGATCAAAAAAGAATTTCTAACAACTCAGAAAAGTGTATAGGATCCCTATGATGAAAAGAAATATAAAGGAAGATGTAGTTTTCTCAAATCGTTGTCAATATCAGAGAGCAGTTGCTTGGCAAATGCTAAGACCTGGGAAAAGAAACTATTCAGCTTTTAATCTCTATCTTCTTATTTTCTCAGAATCTATCAAAATAATATATTGTTTTATATTGTAGAAAGGTAGCTTCTTGAAGCCTTAAGAAGAATTTTAAAACTTCGGTATCAAACATCTCATTAAAGACAAACTTTTACTTACTTCCAGACAATAGAATAACTTGTAAAATTGGAATCTGGTATTTTTATAAAGAAACTGCGGTCTTACACTTAAATCCAAAATAATAAATCTGTCCTATACAATAAAAATAAATTTTATATTTTTGAAAAGTATTTTTACACTGTAATTATATGCATAATTGTGAATTTTAGAAAGTTGAGTCAAATTGTAGGCTGACATTTAAAAATATGCATTATATACAAATTGCAAGTAGAGTAACATGTACACTTTTGTATTTATTGAACTATGGTCTCGTATTTTGGGGTAAGAAATGTATTCATGTGTCGTTAAAGAATACCATGTACATTGTCCGTTCTGAAGATATAAATACTGCGCACATTTATACCAAAGTTTCATTTATATTTGACATTTTTGGTTTCCCAAGATTTCCTGTTCTAGCCACATTATGTTTTAATTCCTTGGCAAGATAATGAACATTTGGTTCTATTTTTTTGTAACTCAAGGGGTTTAAAATATTGATAATTAATGATATTTGTGGATCATTATCTTTGTTTTTGTCTTACTCTGACTTCAAGAATTTTTAATCCTCTTTGCTCCATCCCACCTCTCATGCTTATCTCAGGTGATCCCACGGCTTGATGAACACGTGATTCTTGGCTTCTGTGGCTATTGTCCTTATGACCTATAGCCATCAATTGTGAAGGATGGTTTCTTGTGTTTATCCAGTGAAAGAACAGTAATCCCAGTACCCAAATAGATTCCTGAAAACCCCTAAATTAGAAGACAGCAATAGTAGGGTTTTCTTGAATTTACTTCCAACATCAGTCTCCTGAACTGATTTTGGAATTGAATTCAACATCAGCGGTCTGCTGTTTGAAGTGAATTCAAGAACTATTTATTTTAACTAAATATTTATATTAACTAAAAAGGCAAAACAGACCCTTCACACAAATTAACAATAGGTCTGTACAATTGACATCCAATTTACCATCCATTGTTAAATTTTAATCTTCTTCCAATGTGATGTTAAGTAAAGTGGTATTTGGGGCTGGCTGCTGCAGTGTATATGTATACACACATATGAGAAACTATAGTGTTTTTTAAAAATGTATATGCTCAAGTGCTTTTATTTTACAATTGAGAAAAATGGATAAAATCTAGGTATGTGTGCATCATTGATCACTGGAATGGCATTCTACAATGTATGCTAGGGCTGCTGGAAATTTAGTGGATTTAGTGCTCGACCTGATGAGAAGTCATTAGCGAATGTCTAGAGTAGAAGAGGCCAAGAAAAGACAGCTTTCATCTCGCTTTGGGGAATATGAAAGAATGCTACAAAGGATCCTAGAGGACTCTGCTGCCTTCTAGTTGTTAATGAAAAAGGAGACCTGGACATTAATTCATGGGCGTGCTAATTAATTTAGATGACATCAGTGTCCTCATCAGGACCTTGGAAGAGCCTGACCATCCTCTCCTGAAGGCACTGGGCTTCCTTGGATTTGTCCTTTGAAAAATGCTCATTCTGCTAAGCCTCGAGGAAAATCTACAGGACATTAGGAAGTTACAAGAAATGAGTTTCAATTCTGAAAAGATGGAATCCAAGCTATTAATTTAGATAGTCAAAGGTAGTCCTGGATTCAATGTTCATAGGAGGTTTGTAAAAGAACATTCCAAGAGAGTCAGTCACCTTTTTTTAATCAAACGTAATGTTGTACAGTGTAAGACAGGCATTAATAAAGAAGAAATCCCAAATTAGGACCCCAAACTGAAGGATTTGACAAATGTTCAGTTTAAAGTCCTATAACTAAGCTACCAACTCAGCCAAACAATTTGTTATATATCTTGATGCTAGTTCTGAGAGCTTAGGGACTAGACTATGTCAAGACATTGAAGTCAAGAAGCCTATAGCAAAACTGATGGGCATGGTGGCACACACCTGTAATCCCAGCTACTCTGGGGGCTGAGCTGGAGGATTGCTTGAGTCCAGGAATTAGGGGCTGCAGTGAGCTATGATTGTACCACTGCACTCTGTCTAGCCTGGGTGACAGAGCAAGATGTTGTCTCTAAAAATAAAAACAAAAAACAAAATAAACAAAACAAATGAACACTTATTAAAGACTTACTATTTGTCAGGCACTCTTCTAAGCATTTATACATATTAAGTTACTCAAGGTGTTTAATCCCCACAACGAATCTCTCTGATCCCATTTTACCTGTGAGGGAATTGATACATTCAGTTACACAACTAGTTTGTAAAGGAACCAACATTCAACAGCTGTCCAGCTCCAGTGCCCAGGCTTTTGGTCAATATACTGTGTTTCCCTAGCTTTTGCCAGGAAAAATTATGTATCTAATACAGAAGCCAGATACCCTGTGAGTATATCAGAGTTCCTGGCTTTCACTGACAGTTTGAGTGAGGGGTGCTGTTCTGGATCTTTCATTAGCTCCTCCAGATCCACTTTATCCTGTTTGATGCCTCAGCAGGCTCCCCTGCCGTCCTGAGATCAGGAGGCAAGAAAAGAAGGGTAAGGTATTCTCCTCCACCACCTCCACGCCCCCCTCGCCATGTCCCTGGAGGTCAGCTACTTCTCTCTAATGAAGGCCTCAGGCACTGTCAGGTTTCAATGACCATTTCTTTGTGCCTTCTTGCCTGGGGTGGTAATGACAGGTGTGGTTCTCAATCCCTGAGCTTCTACCACTCCTGTTGCTTCTCTTACATATGGCCCCCTTCTTTGTGAAGAATTCCCTTTATTAAGCCATTTTCATCAGGTTCCTGCAAGAACCCAGACAGATGCAGGGGCCTTTTGATGGATGGAGTGCCAGCAGCCCACTTCTCTTTGTATTTACCATTTGTGAGGCAGCAGTGAGGAGACACGGCATCTAAGTGCTCATCTTCACTAAAGGGTCGTGTTGATGCTCTTTCCTGACTGTATCTCCAGGCTCTCAGGATCATCTGAGTTCTCCAACACATAAGACCTCACCTTCTATGAGGTGGGACAGAAAGGTTGTGACTATCCTCATTTGTTCACTTATTTATTTATTTATTCGTGCAAAAATATTTTCTGAACACTTACTATGTGTTGGGCATTGTGCTAGATGCTGGGGATACAGCCATAAACAAGGCAGATTAGCGCCCTGCTCTCATGAAGCTTACAACTTAGTGGGCAGAGACAGAAAATAATCAATAAGCCTAATAATTTTGATAACTGCTATGAAGACTATAAATTAGAATAGTGGTTACAGAAAACAACTCGCTGCTGGGTGAGGAAATGCTGGTTTCAGTAAGGTGATAAGGAAAGGCTTCTTTGAAGAGGTGACAACATGATGGGAAGGATATAGTCATGTGAAGAGCTGGAGACAGCATTCCAAGCAAAGGGACAGCAAGTACAAGATCCACGAGGAAAAGTGACATTTTTGAGGAAAGGAAAAATGGCCAATGTGGCCCAAGCAAGGTAAGTGATGAGGTAGGAGACACAGGCAGGAGCAAAATCATGTAGGGCTATTAATTCTACAATGAATGTCAAGTCTTTCACTCTGGGCAAATTTGAGATCCTCTATCATCAATTTTACATAAGAGGCTGTGAAGAAATACCCCCAGAAAGAACCCAGCTAAGGGGAGTCATCCAAGAGAAAGCCAGAGAACTCTAAGCAGAAAAAAATAGTTTCTTTTTCCCAAAAGCAGCAAAGATTTTGTTTTTAGTATGTTATAGACCTAAATGATCGTGGAGATTTGGAAGGATAAGAGCAATGGTTTCCTCCAAAAGTATCATCTCATGGTCCTGAGAGTTTTATATGTGGCTCTGGCCATCTTGGAGACAGAGAACTATACAACTCATGTCTCTCAAACTTTTTTTTTTCTTTTAACATTTTGGATCTAAGACAAGTGGAACTTTTAATTCAAAATAAAATACATACTGAGAGATATTTTTTCTGTATCTGGTTCTACATACAAACTTGCAATTTCTTTCTGATTTGATGTCTTAGTTGTGAACTCGCTTTTCCTCTACACAAATTTAGCATCCAAGATAAAGACCAGGAAGAGGGAGGATTTCTGGCTGAAGTTCTGGTGTAAAGGAATAAGGATGTTGCCAAAACTGAGAGTGGTTGACCAAAACCTAATGAGAACAGGAACTACGAAGGGAAATTTAAAAGCAAAAGTGGTCATGGTTTGAAAGGGCCTATGGGAATTTTGCTACCTGCATGAATTTTTATTAATTTACTGACATCTTTAGGGGTGAGGAGTGCCTGTCCCAATGGTCAAATATAGGTACCACTGGGAAAATGAACAAATAGTGAGATTATTGGGGTAACATTTTAGATATTCAGGATATTTTAAGAGTTATTTCTTGAGGGTCTTCTGTAAACCCCAGGGTTATGTAGCTTAGCTGTCTCCGTGAAAGCATCCTAGCAGTACTGTTAAATCTAAGTTCTAGGACCTTCAGCTTCCTTCATCTTGCCAATATTTTGTTAAGGGAATATTTTTTCTTCTTACCATTTGCTTTATTTCTATTTCCTATTCATAAATTTTCATTCTTCTTTTCCTGTTTATCCCCAAAGAGTGATGAACTGTAGCCAGTGCTGTTAAGGGGCATGATTTACTAAAGCTGCACAAAGTGTAGTTTTGCATAAGGAAACCCACTGCTGTAAGGAAGGTGGTTTATAGCTTCTTATAAATGATAAACTAAAACTTCCTATAAGAAATCTTCTTCCCAATTAATTACACATTTAGGAATTCCTCAATTTTGTTTACTCTTTCCATTCTATCTAAGCTGCCCCTACCAATATGTGTAAGTACCAGAGGTTTCCTAGCTTATTGATACTTGATGTCTTTGATGTGCACATTCATTTCTATGAGACCCATTTGCTTTGGCCCGGTGTGGTGATTCACAAGACCAGGTCAGCTGAGGTTGAGATAGGCACAGCCTCTTACAGACATCATTATTAATGAGCACATTATCAATCACTTAACTCCCATTCTGGCCAGGAACGGTGGCTCATGCCTGTAATCCCAGCACTTTTGGAGATGAAAGTGGGTGGATCACTTGAGGTCAGGAGTTTGAGACCAGCCTGGCCAATGTGGTGAAACCCCATCTCTACTAAAAATACAAAAATTAGCTAGGCATAGTAACTTACACCTGCCGTCCCAGCTACTCGGAGGCTGAGGCAGGAGAATTGCTTGAACCCAGGAGGCAGAGGTTGCAGTGAGCGGAGATTGTACCACTGCACTCCAGCCTGGGTGACAGCGTGAGACTCCATCTCAAAAAAAAAAAAAAACAAAAAAACCTCCCATTCTGAGGTTTGTCACTCTCTATCTCTCAACTCTTCATACCTTTTTTGCTATTTTGCCTTTACTACCCATCACATCTTTTAATAGATCTATTCAAGATCCCTGTCATGCCTGGCCAACTAGTTGACATTTTTAGGTGACCTGATTCATGTATTTAGCAGGTAATGTAGCTTAGTAGATTTAGTAAACCTTTATTTCATTGCTCCTGGACGGAAAGAAAGAGGAATCTAAACACCAAAATTTGATCTTGGTTAAAAACTTATTTAAATGAAACATTGAAATGTTGTTTGAAGTCACAGATACAATTAGAAAGGGCTTAATAACGTTTGAATTACTTTGTTGAAAAGTACTCACCCATAAAATTTAATCCATTTATTCATCAACGAAGTAAATTCAACAGATTATAAATGGGAACATCGAAGATGTGGCTTTGAACTATTCTGAACTATTTTTAGCAGAACAGTTTAACAACAGAAGTAAGGTTGGACTAAAGACACCTTAAAAACCAAACTGCGTTTGAAAACAATAGACAAATGTTTTCCTTCCTTACATGTCTGGCTAAAGTAAATTTTTATATGTGGAATTTATTTTAATAGCAAGAGCCACCTGTATAACTTAAGACCAGGCCATCAATTTCATTTCAGATAAGTCACTGGACAGGAACATGCAACCCTGATTAATTTAGTTTCTTTGCTCCAAGCCAAACACTTAAGAACGAAGTTGTTTAAACGAACAAATAGAATATTCCTCTGGTATTATCAGACAAGCAGGAAATTTAATAAAATAAACTCATATCCATTTTGAAGAAAAGTCAAGTAAGTGGACATTTTGCAGGTACAGGGCAGGTTTTTATGCGTGGTAACTTGAGAACATCTACTGAGAATAATCTAGTTTCCAAAATAAGTCAACCTTCATTATTTAAAGGGTATTTTTTAGAATACAGAATTCAAAAATTATCATAATAAATAATAATATTAGTAGAACTTGTTGGAAGTCACAGGATGCTGATTGCTCTGTAGGAAAGTAGCCCTACCTTAGATGGGGTTGGAAAATTTCAGGGATACACAGCAAAAAGAATATTGTTTCTTCAAGGGGCAACCATCCTTTTCAAAACATTGAAATATTAATATAAGGTTGGGGAATTGTCATGTTATGCAGATGTGGATTTCTCAAAATAAATAAACACGCAAAAACTATAGATAGCTACATCTCAGTTCTTGCCTTTAAAAACCATATATGACTGCAAAATAGCTCACACAAAGACTGTTTTCAACAGAAACACAAAGCTCCATCAGTTAAATTCAAGGTAGTGTGAGTAAACAGAAAAAAATAATCTGGATCATCAAAAAACTTGTTTTTCACTGCAATGTTCTGTCTATACTAAAGCAGAACAAAACTGCAGGAGCTCAGAGATAAGCACACCCCAGAAATAGATTTGCTGCAAGAAAATTTTAGAAAAGGTATAAAATCTATTCTCAAAAAGATAAAATGGGACAGACTATTAAACAAGAACAGTTCAGGATAAAATAAAAACAAAATGAAATCCACAATAGACCCACTAAATTTGTTGTTGAAAGCAGCCAAGAGCTGGTTATTATGAGAAGCTGTTAGATGATGGTATGGAAAGAGTGTGGAAGTCGAATTCTGACATACTTGAATTAAAACTGATTTGGTTATTTATTCACTATATGATCATGAAAAAATCCATCAACCTCTAGAGTATAAATTTCTTCATATGTAAAATGAGGTTAATGGTACGTTCCAGGGTGGTCAGAAACATCTCATTGTACATCCCTGAGAAATACAAAGTAGATGGTGCCCTCGAGTTGAATAACACAATAGGCTAAAGTCCTACCATGAAAAAAAAAATCTATTATATACCTATTCCTAGCACATAGTAGGCACTTCAAACACGTTCATTTCACTTGAAACATAAAATGCACTTCACATATAAACATAAAATTTCACTTCACATAAAAATGCAGGCTTTAAGACAAAACACTGAATCAGCAAATAGAAGACAAAAGTGACAATCATATTCTGGTCACTGAAGGAATAAATATAAATATTAAAAATTTGCAAAAGATGTCAATCAAGGAGGGCAAATCATAGTAATCTAGCCTACAAATAACAACATTGCAAAGAACACAGAAGGAACAGATGTTAGGATCACTGATAAAAAGGTAAAATAGAAAAAAGCTCTAAACATAAATAAAACAGCAACTAAGATTAAAAATAGGCATCACCATGTATCAGGTTTTAAAAAATAATTGGCAACAAGTAAAAATGATTTTGCAAACTTACAATCTGAAATGAGCATTATATTTAAAGGGAGAGAAAATGAACAATCAGAGACATTTTTTCTCCTCTGGATGAATCAAGGCCAGAAAGAAGGAGTTATATCTGAAGCAATCTCTCTTATAAATGGTCAAAAAGAATGATTCAAGACATTGATTATGTGGAACGTCACTTAAATGAAATTCCTAGATCTCCAAAATATCTGAAAATGTATTAACCTTCTCTGAGGAGCCAAGTGAAGATAGATCTCAGAGTAAAGATTAATTTTTGAATGAAGATGACAGCATTGAAAAATTATAATTGTGCTTATATAAATTAAACTTAATGGGAAAAAGTGGGACACATAAATTATAATTATTCAAAAGGATAAAAAAATAATACTAGACCCTGGGGTTCCAGGAAGATAGTGTAGCATTCTTCGTCTCCTGTACTAATTCCAATCACTCTGCTCCACTTGAGTCAAATAGCTGCTGATGCCAAGAAAAAACCAAATCCAAGTGAAGCCTCGTGCTCAGTAGACATCCTAGGTGGAAGAAGTGGTATGGAGCTAACCCCTGAAGTCGGAGTTAGTTCTGGAAACCAGCATCAGCAAGCCCCAGGGAGACAATCATAACGAAAGTTGTTTCTGAATGCCTGGTGGAAAGTTTGATGCAACCCTGGATGAGCATGTGAAGAATCTCTCTGGCTCCAAAGAGACCAAGGAGGAGCTGCAATGGTGGACTGGGTCCTTTTGGCCCTGGAGCCTGGAAGAGTATAAGGAGACCAGAAAGTAGAGAGGCTTCCTCCAGGTGTCTTGGCTAGAACAACCCCTTTCCTGCTTCCAAACAGTTGGACCAGGGAGAGAGACAGCTGTACTTCCCATACCCTGCACAATTCCCAGTGGGCTGGCAAAGAAAAATAGTACCACATCACATAGGGCCGAGCAACCAGAAAGAGGAATATTAGGCAAGACCGGATACACAGTAAAAAAGGCATACAACAACATAAATAAAACCATGAGGACACTCAGAGACTCAAGAATACATAGAAAAAAGATTATGGAGTTAAAAAAAACATCACTTTACTAGCAGACATGAAGAAGAGGCTAACATTTTTGATACTCAAATTAGAGGCATGAGTGATCAGTACATAAAAAAATTTCAAGCCACAGTTTAAAAATATAAAAAGATAGTGTATCAATTTCCTATTGCTGCTGTAACAAATTACTGCAAACATAGTGGCTTAAGGACACACAAATGTATTTTACAGTTCTAGAAGTCAGAGGTCTAAAAGTAGTCTGCAAGACTGTGTTCCTTCTGGAGGCTCTAAGGGGGAATGTGTTTCTTGCCATTTTCATCTTCTAGAAGCCACCTACACTCCTTGGCTCATGGCCCCTTCCTACATCTTCAAAGCAGGTAGTGTAGCATCCTCCCCATCTTCCCTGATATCCTGCTTCCCTTGTAAAAGGAAACATCCCTACAAAAGAACCTTTGTTATCACCTCAACCCACCTAGGTAATACAAGATAATTCTCCCATCTCAAGATCCTTGATTTTATTACATCTGCAAGGTAGCATATTCTCAGGTTCCAGGGATTAGGACCTGGACATCTTTGAGAGGAGCAATGGGAAAGATAAGAGAGTTGGATGATAGAGTCAAGAGATATAACATGAAAGTAATAAGAGTTTCCAGTAAGAGAAAAAAGAACACATGGAGGATAAGAAATTGATTAAACATGTAGTAAGAAAATAATTATCCAAACTGAAGAAATTTTGAATTTGCAAATTCAAGTGACTTGATGAGTTCCGGCAAGATGGTGAAAAAGACACACCTAGGCATATTTTGGTAACTTTTAAGCTATTAGGAACAATAAATAAAAACCTTTAAACACAATAGTAAGTTACTTAGAAGAGAAAAGACTCATGTTAGCATCAGATTTTCATATATAACATTGGTAGTCGGAGAAAGCAATAAAATAAATCTTGGCTCTGAGAGTCCACATCTTTCCTATCACTAGTGGCGCTTAAGAGAACTCAACAATAAAGTGAGTTTTAAACAGACTATGGGAGACTAATGAGAGAAATGTACTGCAATCCAAAATTCTTTACCCGGCCAAAAAATTATTCACCAGAGAGCCTGAAAGATATTTTAGATATGCAAAAATTCAAAGAACAGATCACATACCCCAACTAAAAAAAACAAACAAACAAAAAAAAAGAAAAACCTTCACTCAAACTAAAAACTGATGCAAAACAGAGACCTCAAAGTGAGCATTGATGAGAAAGAAGGAAACAGTAGAGAAGATAGGTAAGTCTGAATGGATTTGTCTCTTAGATTTTCTGAGAAAGTGTTGTTTAAATGTATGTAATGTTATTGTATATTAAATAATGACATTATTGTTAATGTTATTTAAATGTAAAACAAGCATCTAAAACAGAGAAATTTCTGATAATCTCAATGGAAATTCCAATAATGACCTACACCTAAAAAATACTAAATTAGTTTAGCAAAATCTAATAATTGATACAGCGGATATGGAAAGAGGAAGATAAAATTTTTCCACATGTAGTTGAGAGTGAGGTAGACATCTATTTATAGAATAGGTAGACAGAAACTAAGTTTCTTAATTTAGAAATTAAGATATTCTAAAGGTCTCACCTAATAAGAGTGGGAGCAGGGGAAAATAGAATAACTTGGAGGGTAATAGAACACCTCAGATTAAATAACCGCTAATGTATTTTTAAATAATAGCAGAAAAATAGATGGAAGATTATAAGTATATAAAAAAGTAAGGTAATAATTAATGGAATAGAAAAGTATAGTTGTTTTTCCAAATTAGCAAACAAAAAAAAATGAATCAAACCATACATGATCCAACTACAAAAATAAAGCAAAGAAAAACTGAGGGAAAAGCAACAGAAAACAAATCATAAAACAGAACAAATCATCAAATAACATATTTCCATTCTTAGGGAAAAAGCAAATAAAATAAATTGCCTTTAAAAATAAATGAATTGTCAGATTTATTTAAAAAAGAAACCCAGGTGAAGTATGATTTATAAAAACCACAGTAAAAACAAAATGATAAAAGATATACAATCATATGTCACTTAATGAGAGAGATACACTCTGAGAAACATGTCATCAGGTGATTTTTGTCATTGTGTGAACATCACAGAATATACTTACACAAACCTAGATGGTATAGCGTACTACACACCTGGCTGTATAGCCTATTGTGGCTGCAAGCCTGTACAGCATGTTATTGTACTGAATCCTGTAGGCCATTGTAACACAATGGTAAGTATTTGTGTATCTAAACTTACCTATACATAGAAAAAATATGGTAAAAATACAGTATTATAATCTTATGGGATCATCATCATATGAGGTCTATCATTGACCAAAGTATGACTGTATTACAAATAAAGAGGTAAGTAAAGAGATCTCCATCATATGCAACAAAAATAAAGTAGTTATTATATTAATTTCAGACTAGGTAGAACTAAAGTTTAAAGGACCAAGCAGAATCAAAGGACACTATAAAAAAGTAAAAGGCACAATTTATAAAGATGATACAATAATCACAAACTGATACATACCAATTTATATACAGTTCTAAAAATGCAAGAAGAAAGTCCTTGCATGATCGGGGCCCTGCATTCCTTTTCACCCTCATCAGAAGCCACTTCTCCACTTACTGACTGTTTGCTTAGTTATTAGAACACCCCCTCTGTTAGTCATTAGAACACATCAAGTTCCTTTCCATCCCAACCCTTTTTATTTGCTGTCTTTCATGTGCTTTCACTTACGGTTAAGGGAGGTTAAATGTCATTTTTGAGGTCACTTCTGCCTCTAAGTCATACTAACAGGGACCATATTTACCCTTCTACAGAGATGACTAAAAATCAAAACAGACAAATTAACATTGGTTTTTAAGGTATTGGTTTTAGGTAATGAAAGACAGCTATCTCTGAAAACCAGAAAACGAATGGAGATAATTGAAATCGTCCCATCTCACTTCCTGGAGTTTCAAAAAACAAGGAATGAAAATTTTCTAATGAAATTCAAACTCAGTGTATAGGTCGAATAAATTACACCTGGATGAAGACAAAATTAATAAAGGTAAATAATGAATCTGGAGAAATTATCCAGAAAGAAGCTCAAACAGATGAAAAATATGAACAAAGAGATGTAAAAACATGGAAAACAGTTAGAAAGTTCTAAAATACCTTTTACTGGAGTTCCAGAAAGAAGAAATAAGGTAATGGCTGAGGATGTACCAGAATTATTTTCCAGTGTTAGTCATCTTGAAGAAGTCCATGAATTCCAAGGGAGATTGATATACTACTCCATCCTACTGATTGATTACTCAGATCCTCAACTCTTCTCTCTTTCTCACACTCCAATTATAATCTGATAGAAAACCTATTGGCTCTACCTTCAAAATATATCCAGAATCTGACCCCATCTCATCATTATCACTGCAGCAACTACCATCATCTCTCACCTAATTACTGTACTCAATTACTACAATTCTTCCTACTTCTACCCTCAGCCCCAACACCTATTTTTCAACACCACAATCATAGTGATTCTTTTAGAACAGATCACTTCTTGTCACTCCTTTGTGTAGAACCTTGAATAAGTCTCAAAATCCTTTTTTTTTCTTTTTTTTTTTTTTAGACGGAGTTTCGCTCTTGTTGCTCAGGCTGGAGTGCAATGGTGTGATCTCGGCTTACCGCAACCTCCGCCTCCCAGGTTCAAGCGATTCTCCTGCCTCAGCCGCCCAAGTAGCTGGGATTGCAGGCATGTGCCACCATGCCTGGCTAATTTTGTATTTTTAGTAGAGACGGAGTTTCTCCATGTTGGTCAGGATGGTCTCGAACTCCTGACCTCAGGCGACCTGCCCACCTCGGCCTCTCAAAGTGCTGGGATTACAGACGTGAGCCACCACACCATTCCCAAGTCTCAGATTCTTGTAATGGCCCTACGTAGTCTGCCCTTTGCACTTCTTTAACCTACTAATCTCCTATTATGCCATTCCGTATTTTCTCGACTCCAGCCACATTGACCTCATTGTTGTTACTCCAATAGAATAAGGATGTTTTGGCCTGAGGCCTTCGTCTAGTTCTTTCTTTTGCCCAGAATGTTTTCCCCCTACATGTTTATTTATCCAATGCCTTCATTTATGTCTTCCTTCATCAATTATGACCTTCTGAATGAAGCATACTCTGACTACCTCTGACCCATCCTCTCAGCATTCCTGGTCTTCTTTACTATGATCTACTTTTTTCCTTCCACAGCACTTTTCTGACATGCTGTTTTTTATTTTGTGTCTCCCTGTACTCTCACAGAGTACATTTTTTAATGTCTTATTATCATTCTTTCCTGATTTATCCCAAATTCCTAAGAGTTCCCAGCAAAGAGTAGGTACAGTACATATTTATTAAATAAATGAAATCCGCATCAAGACACATCATAGTGAAACGGCCAAAGACATTGGAAGCAGCTAGAGAGAAAGGGCACTAGTAAACAGTTGAGTTCTCAACATCAACAATAGAAACCAGAAGGCAGTAGAGTAATTTTTAACTTTTAACCTAGAAATTTGTACGCAGTGAAACTACTTTCTGAGAATGATAGTAAAATCAAAACATTTGCAGATAAAATGGGTTTTCACCAAAAGGTATTCGGTAAAAGAAAATCAGAAGTTTGTAATTCAAGATAAAGAAAATAATCCACAAGTACGATCTGGGAAATAAATAATAGTGAGTAAAGAAAATAATAAACATGTGGATACATCTGAATGTTAATTTAAAACAACAAATAGATAAATGAAAACAACAAATTAATAATAAAATTATGGACTGGGTGTGGTGGCTCCCATCTGCAATCCCAGCACTTTGATAGGCTGAGGTGGGTGGATCACTTTAGGCCAGGAGTTTGAGACCAGCCTGGGCAACATGGCAAAACACTGTCTCTACAAAAAATACAAAAATTAGCTGGACATAGTGGCAAACACCTATAATCCCAGCTACTCAGGAGGCTGAGGCAGGAGAATTACTTGAACCCAGGAAGTGGAGATTGCAGTGAGTCGAGATCATGCCACTGTACTCCAGCCTGGGCAACAGAGTGAGACCCTGTCTAAAAAAAGAAAAAAAAGAAAAAAATATATATATAGAAAAAAATTAATAATAAAATTATGTCCAATTTGTAGAATTTTAAAGAATATAGCTAAGTTGCTTAGCAACATTTGAAAGTAAGTCAGAAACAGGTGGTATGACTAGAATTGAACCATTCTAAAGTCATTGATGTTTAAGACAGGGATTGGCAAATGCCAGGCCTTAGGCAAAACCTTACCCATTATCTATTTCCTTTTATTTTTCGACAACAGAAATTTATTCTTTCACAATTCTGAATAAAAAATTTTTTATTCTAGAAATAAAAAAATCAAGGCATTATCAAGGCCATGCTCCCTCTGAAGTTTCTAGGGAATAATCCCTCCTTATGTTGTCTTAGCTTCTGGTGGTTACCAGCAATTCCAGTGTTACATAGCTTATAGCTGCATCACTCCAATTTCTGCCTCAGTCTTCCCATGGCTATCTTTCCTCTGTGTGTCTGTCTGTGTGTTTACATGGCCTTTTTATAAAAAAAAAGCTAATCACTAGATTTAGGACCCAGCCTAATGCAGTGTGACCTCATCTTAAGTTGATTACATCTGCAAAGACTCTACTTCCAAATAAGGCAACATTCACAGGTCCTGAAACTTAGGACATCAACAGATCTTTTTGTACTTGGAGAAGTCCATGGCTTCATACTCCCCCTCCTGGGCCCTCAGCAGTGGAGGACCCACCCTGAGGGCCCTCCTGGCAGCTTATCATCTATTTCTATAAATAATTATTGGAACACTGCTACATCTATTTGTTTATGTAGTGTAGTTGCAAAAAGATCCTATAGCCTGAAAAGCCTAAAATATTTGCTATCTGGCTATTTACAGAACATTATTTTTCCAATCTCTGGTTTAAGAGCAGCATAAATATGTTTATTATATCTAGACTTTAAATCTTCAGAATATTAAGTAAAATAACAGGAACAGAAAATGTAACTCCCAATGAAAAATAAGGAAATAAAAGATGAAAGGATAGAGGGAGGTAATTAGAGTCAGTAATTGCAGAAAGCAGTTTCTCTACCACTATTACCACCACTACTACTGCAACTCCATAATCAGGGCTGGAAGAACACAGAGAAGAGGTTGATGTTATCAAAACATAGGAACTTACGAGTCTTGCAAACCCGAACCTCAAATCCAGTATGAAGTGAGTTGCAAGGAAGAAAAGTGATTTATAGAGTTTCAGCTCTAGGATTTTCAGTGGCTTCAGAACTGGAAAAAAAAAATCATTTAATAACCAGCTCAGATAGATTTAATTGGCTACATAAAGATGCTTTGTATGGCCAAAAAGAACATGCACATAGTCAATAGACAAACAACAGAACTGGAATAAGGACAAAATCATTATATTCATGGCAATCTATACAACTGGAAAAAGAAAACCCAAACCAAAACAGTATTTTTTTTAATGAGGGTATATTTACTGCTACCCTATTTGTAGTTGTGTAACAGTGAAAGAGCAAAAGAGCTAACATAACTAGCTCCATATTTGTTTAAGTGGCCTTTACCCATTCCTGCACATAGGCTAGGATAATTTTAAAGCACTGAGATAAAACTCAAAAACAGCTATCATGTAGTTTTGAAATGAACTCTGGGATTAAAGGGAAGGATATAAACAACTAACTGTGTTTTGTTAAAGATTTACAGGAGCACTGTGACCTGACCAAGGACAAAGAAGTTCCCAGTCTCCACAAACCCTCATTGGCACTCAGTTGTCTGTGGTCCTTGGTTCCTTTTCATCCCAACCCCTGAACTTAGTTTTCTCATATTTTCTCTCCCATAAAAACCCTCCAGCCAGACTGAAAAAAATTTAAGATGGTACTTTAGAACACTATTTCACTATCTTCTCAGTTTTGCTGCCTTTCTGGATAAACCTGCTTTTCCTCCCACCAACACTCATCTCTCGTGTCTGGCTTTTGAGAGGCTATCAGCCAAACCTAGGTTTGGTTACAGTGGCAGAAGGAGAAAGACAGAAAAAAATAACCAAAAACAAATAGAATGCCCGTCAGTATGGGAATGGTTCAGTGAAATATATTTACACAACTATCACATCATGGATACCATATCCACTACATAAAAATGAAATTGGTTTAGGTTCTGGTAATAGAGAAGTAACAGATGTAGGACTGGCCCTCTATCAAGGGCTGCAGAGGCACTTAGCCTTATTCTATTTGCAAGGTAACAAGTTAGCCTGCCACAGTTTCATAGATACTAGCAGAAGAAACAAGACTCTGGGAAACAAAAACAAAAACAAAAACAAAACCAACTTTCTTATTCATGGCACAATAGGCCATTTTCTACTCAAACATCCTAGTAAAGACTTTCTGGGACAATAGCTATCATAAGATGTATAGGAACATCATGGAGAATTATTCTCCAACATCCTCCTGCAAAGAACAATTATAAATTCTAAACAAAATGTAAAAAATTAAACAAAATATTTGAGGGCATTGGAGAGAGATCAAAAGCAGGCAAAATTTTGAAAGAATTCAAGTTTTGAAAAAAAAGATGTGCATTGGATAAGACCCAAGTTTAGACAGACTTTCTCTGAGGGCCCTCTTCAGCCCACTTTAGCACAGCCACTGGAACTCAAGAAGAAAACATCTTGGTTTAAGTTGCCAAAGGACAGAATTGGGGGCCACCAGAATGGCTAAAAATTGAGAGGGAAAAAAATCTGAAATAAGAAAGTCATTCTTTGGAGGAAGCCCTGAAATTAGTAAGATAAAAAACAACAACAAGAACAACAAAACCTTTTTTTAAGTAATTGGCTGACCTCTGAATTTCACTTCAAAGGGGAGACTGCAAGACAATAAAAAGAAATTAAAGGCATCCAGATTGGAAAAGGAAAAATAAAACTATCTTTGTAGATAAAATCTACAAAAAAACTCTTGGGACAAGTAAGTGGGTTAAATAAGGTTGAACAATTCAAAGTCAACATAAACATCAATTGAATTCCCCTATAGTAGCAACAAACTATCCAAAATTTAAATAAAACCAAGTATCATTTTACAATACCATTAAAAATAGGAAATACTTAGATTCAACATTTAAAATGTCAATTGTAGACCAGGGGCAGTGGCTCGCACCTATAATCTCAGCACTTTCGGAGGCTGAAGTGGGTGGATCACTTGAGGTCAGGAGTTTGAGACCAGCCTGGCCAACATGGCAAAACCTGTATCAACTAAAAAATACAAAAAAATTAGCCAGGTGTGGTGGCGGGCACCTGTAATCCAACCTACTAGGGAAGCTGAGACAGGAGAATTGCTTGAACCCAGGAGGCAGAGGTTGCAGTGAGCCGAGATCATGCCACTGCACTCCAGCCTGGGAAACAGAGCGAGACTCTGTCTCAAATAAAATAAAATAAAGTCAGTTGTCCCCAAATTAATCTACAGATTCAGTGCAATCTTATCAAAATCCCAGTAGAAGTTTTTTGTAGAAATTGACAAGTTGACTCTAAAATATTTATGAAAATACAAAGAAACTAAAACTTTAAAAAATGAGGGTAAGGCTGGGCGTGGATTATAGGCTCACATCTATAATCCCAGCACTTTGGGAGGCCGAGGAGGGTGGATCACTTGAGGTCAGGAGTTCGCTATCAGCTTGGCCAACATGATGAAACCCTGTCTCTACTAAAAATACAAAAATTAGCCAGGTGTGGTGGCGGGCACCTGTAGTCCCAGCTACTCGGAAGGCTGAGGCACAGAATCGCTTGAACCCCAAAGGTGGAGGTTGCAGTGAGCCAAGATCGTGCCACTGCACTCCAGCCTGGGTGACAGAGTGAGACTCCCTCTCAGAAAAAAAAAAAAAAAAAAAAAAAAAAAAAGAGAGAGAGAGAATAAAAGCTGTAGAACTTACAATAATTTACTTTAATAGTGCAAAGTAATCAAAACAGTGTAATATTGGCATAAAGACAGAAAAATAGTTCAATAGAATAGAGTTCTGAAATACAGCCAAGTATTGGACAAGTGATTTCCTGCAGAAGTGCAAAGGCAATTCAGTGAATAAAGGATTGTCTTTTCAACAAATGGTGCTGAAACAATTGACTATATTTATTCAGAATAATAAGCCTCGATGTATAACTTGTACCATATACAAAAATAACTTGAAAGTAAACCTAAACTACTGAAACTTTAAGAAGAAAATTTAGGGGAAATTTTTGAAAAATACTTAGGCAAAGGTTTCTTAGACATGACACATCAAACATAAAAGAATAGATTTATAAATGAGATTTCATCAAAATTAGGAAGTGCTGCTCTT
Source organism: Homo sapiens (assembly GCF_000001405.40). NCBI lineage: Eukaryota > Metazoa > Chordata > Mammalia > Primates > Hominidae > Homo > Homo sapiens. The sequence goes on from NC_000006.12 coordinate 69,654,580, forward strand.
TATAAGTTACAGAGAAGAAAATGAAAAGTGAAGACACAAATGGGGAAAATATTTGCCAATCACGTAAAGAACTTGTACTTAGAATAAATAAAGGACTCTCAAATGGCAAATCAACATATGAAAAGTTGCTCACCATCATTAGTCATTAGCAAAGCTCCCTCTCTCAGAATCTCAGCAGAAGTACAATGATTGGCCAATTCATTCACCACTGGCCCACAAGAATAGACATTCACTGCTGCTGGTAATGGAGGGTCTAAAACAATTTGAATGTTGAAGGGATATAACCTCCTCAGCAAGAAGAGCAAAATCATAATATGCTTGGACCATGTAATCCAAAAAAGCAAGGCAAATTGATTATATAGGACAAGGACTTCCTTTTGAAGAATAAATGAAGACATAAAGAAATTAACAATAAATCTTGATGAGAGTGGCCAAGGTGGGCGACTAGAAGCAGCTAGTGTGCATGGCTCTCACAGAGAGGAATGGAAGAGGCAAGTAAATACATCTGCAACTGAAATATCCAGGTACTCACATTGGGACTAATCAAGGAAACAACTTGACCCATGGAGAATGAAGAAAAGCAAAAAAGGACTACAGGCCATCCAGAAGCAACATGGACCCAGGGGAACCTCCCCTGCCCGGGAAAGTAGTGAGTGAATGTGTGACACCAGAAAACCACGCTTCCCTGATGGAACTTTGCAACCCTCCAGTCAGATCTCCTTGTGAACCTACTCCACTAGGGCCTTCTGTCTGACAGACAGAGCTATGTGGAGTCTCAGCAAAGCAGCCACTCAGGCATGCATGGAGACCCTGGAGCATTAGCTACTTGAGCTTTCTGGCAAAAGTAGCTGCAACTCTGGCAAAGTGGGATGTTAGACCCCCATACATACCCATAGGAAAGAGGCTGAATCCAGGAGGCTGAGCAGTGACAGTCAGCAGGCCCCACTTCCATGGCATCTCACAAGATGAGACTCACTGGCTTGGAATTCCAGCCAGCCACAAGTAGTGGCATTGTACCTCCCTAAGAAGGAGCTCCCAGGGGGAGACCCAGGCTGCCATCTTTGCTGTTTGGGTGCCTGAGACGTTTCAGCTTTCAGGCTTCAGAGAGTCTGAGCCCACTGGGGGTGAAAGGGATCCCTCAGCACATCACAGCTGCTCTACCAAAACATAGACTGCTACTTTAAGCAGGTCCCTGATCCACTTCTCCTCACTGGGCAGGACCTCTCAAACTGGGCCTCCAGCAACCCCTGCCAGTGTTCTCCAGCTGACAGAGAGTTGAGTTCTCCCTGGGACAGTGTTCCCAGAGGGAGAGGCAGGCCACCATCTTTGCTGTTTGGGCAGCTTAGCTGTTCCAGCCTTTGGGTTTCAGAGTGTCTGGGGAAACTGAGGACTGAAGTAGACTCACAGTACAGCACAGGTACTCTACCAAAATGTGGCCAGACTGCTTTTTTAAGTAAGTCCCCAATTGCATTCCTCCTCACTGGGTGGGACCCCCCAAACAGGATCTCTACCCACCTCCTACAGGTACCTTTGGGATGGCAACAGGCCTGTACCTCCCTGGGACAAAGCCAGAGGGAAGGATAGGCTGCCATCTTTGCTGTTTCATAGGTTCACTGGTGATACTTCCAGGTACTGGAAAATCTAAGGTGACTAGGGACTGGAGTGGGCCCCTAGCATACCACAGCAGCCCTACAGAAAAGTGGAAAGACTGTTATATGGGTGCCCATTCCCCTATCTCCTCACCAGGCAGGTTCTCCAGGCCTGGACTTCCAGCCATCACCCCCCGGATCCACCAGTAGAGCTATTGAGCCAGTAGCAACTCAGCAACTCCATGGACAGAGCCTCCAGGGGCAACTGAAAGCCTCCTCTGCCACTGCCTCTGCAGCAGAACTGTCCTTGCCACCCTCAGACTATCAAAGGAGCAAAGACCCAAAGTGCATTATCCACACCTCCAACATACTGCAGCCAACCCAAGGAGAAGAAGCCAGTCCATCTCCCACGGGTCCCACGTACCCTCCACCGCTTGACACCAGACAGGAAAACCTTGGCTGGGGCCCTCAGCACAGACCCTTCATCCTGGGCTGATTGCACTGAGCGATTACTGACCTGCATCTCCCTGAGTTGGAGCCCCCAGGAGACAAGCAAACACCCCTTGGCCATAATCATACTAAAGTCTCTTGCTCGCTGCCTCCAAGATGGGGAAGGAACATAAATACTGAGATCACCCCAGAGCTGCAGTGGGCAGCCCAGGAATTCCAAGTCACAGTCTACAGCCAGCACTCAAGGAGGAAAGGAATCCACACTTTCAGAGCATTGAAAGGGAACGTGGCTGCAACTGAGAGAACATAGGGGAGCCACATAACTAAGCAAAAGTCCACCAACTGACCAATAAGTCTAAGCACCACCTGCTGGATCACACCCCAAAGCTTCAACACCAAAAACACCTCACTAACATACCCCCCTCTGAAACCAGAGACAAGAAGTCAGCTTCAAATAAAGACCCTGCACAAAACCTCAGCCTGTTGAAAACATCCAGAAAAGAAGAAGAAGAAAAAAAAACTTCCTGCCCAGGGAAGCAGTAGTGAATGAATGTGTGACCCCAGAATACTACGCTTCTCTGATGGATCTTTGCAACCCTCCAGTCAGGAGATCTCCTTGTGAACCCACTCCACTAAGACCTTCAGTCTGTGCTCAATCTATGCTGCAATTAAAGGAACATCCACATGTGGAGATGAGAAAGAACCAACACAAGAACTCTGGTAACTCAAATTGCCAGAGTATCCTATGTTCTACAAACGACCTTACCAAATCTCCAACAAGAGTTCTTAACCAGGCTGAACTGGCTAGAATGAGAGAAATAGAATTCAGAATATGGAGAGGAATAAAGATCATTGAGATTCAGGAGGGCAGCAAAACTCAACCCAAGGAAAATAAGAATCACAATAAAGTGATACAGGAGCTGAAAGACAAAGCTGGTATAAAAAAGAACCTAACTGTTCTGACAGAGCTGAATAATACAATACAAGAATTTCACAATGCAATCACAAGTATTAACAGCAGAATAAACCAAGGTGAGGAAAGAATCTCTGAACTTGAAGACTGGTTCTCTGAAATAAGACAGTCAGACAAAAATAAAGCAAAAAGAATAAAAAGGAATGAACAAAACCTCCAAGAAGTATGGGATTATGTAAAGAGGCCAAATCTATTAATCACTGGCATCCCTGAAAGAAAGGGGGAGAAAGCAGACAATTTGGAAAGCATATTTCAAGATGTTGTCCATGGAAACTTCCCCAGCCTTGCTAGAGAGGCTAACAGTTAAATTCAGGAAAAACAGAGAACTCCCACAAGATTGTACGCAAGACATTCATCCCCAAGACACGTAATCATCAGATTTTCCAAAGTCGAAGGTAAAGAAAGAATGTTAAAGGCAGCTAGAGAGAAAGGGCATGTTACCTACAAAGGGAACCCCATCAGGCTAACAGCTGACCTCTCAGCCAAAACCCTACAAGCCAGAAGAGATTGGGGGCTTATATTCAACATTCTTAAAAAAAAAAAAAAGTCTTCAACCAAGAATTTCATATCCAGCCAAACTAAGCTTTCTAAGTGAAGGAGAAATAAGATCCTTTTCAGATAAGCAAATGTTGTGGGAATTCATTACCACCAGACCTGCCTTACAAGAGATCTTGAGAGGAACGCTAAATCTAGAAGGGAAAGACCACTATCAGCAAATACAAAAACACACTTAAACACACAGACCAATGTCAGTGTAAAACAACCACACAAACAAGCCAACATAGTAACCAGCTAACATCATAATGACAGGATCAAATTCACACCTGTCAATACTAACCTTGAATGTAAATGGGCTAAATGCTCAACTCAAAGGCCCAGAGTGCCAAACTGGATAAAAAAGTAAGACCCAATAGTATGCTGTCTTCAAGAGACCCATCTCACATGTAATGTCACTCATAAGCTCAAAATATAACGATGTAGGAAAATCTGCCAAGCAAATAGAAAACTGAAAAAAGCAGGGGTTGCAATCCCAATTTCAGACAAAACAGATTTAAAACCAGCAAAGATTTAAAAAAAAAAGACAAAGAAGGGCAATACATAATGGTAAAGGGTTCAACTCAATAAGATCTAACTATCCTAAATGTATATGCACCCAACACAGGAGCACCCAGATTCATAAACCAAGTTCTTAGAGACTGTATTAGTCAGGGTTCTCTAGAGGGACAGAACTAATAGGATAGATATAGAAATAGAGGGGAGTTTATTAAGTATTAACTGACATGATCACAAGGTCCCACAATAGGCCATCTGCAAGCTGAGAAACAAGGAGAGCCAATCCAAGTCCCAAAACTGAAGAACTTGGAGTACGATGTTCGAGGGCAGGAAGAATCCAGCATGGGAGAAAGATGTATGCTGGGAAGCCAGGCCAGTCTCATCTTTTCACATTTTTCTGCCTGCTTTATATTCTAGCCACACTGGCAGCTAACTAGATGGTGCCCACCCAGATTAAAAGCAGGTCTGCCTTTCCCAGCCCACTGACTGGAATGTTAATCTCGTTTGGCAACACCCTCACAGACACACTCAGGATCCTTCAATCCAATCAAGTTGACACTCAGTATTAACCATCACAGAGACCTACCAAGAGACATAGACTCCTACACAACAATAGTGGGAGACTTCCACACTCCACTGACACTATTAGACAGATCATTGAGGCAGAAAATCAACAAAGATATTCAGGACCTAAACTCAACATTGCACCAAATGGATCCGATAAGCCTTTACACAACTCTCAACCCAAACAAACAAACAAACAAGGAAAAAACAGGATAAACATTCTTCTAATCATCACCTGGCAAATACTCTAAAATCTACCACAAAATTGGACATAAAACAATCTTCAACAAATGTAAAAGAACTCAACTTATACCAAACACACCCTTGGACCACAGTGCAATAAAAATAGAGGTCAAGACTATGAAAATTGCTCAAAATCATGCAATTACATTGAAATTAAACAACATGCTTCTGAATGACTTTTGGGTAAATAATTAAATTAAGACAGAAATCAAGAAGTTCTTTGAAACTAATGAGAACAAAGATACAACATACCAGAATCTCTCAGACACAGATAAGGCAATGTTAAGAGGAAAATTCATAGCACTAAATGCCCATATCAAAAATTTAAAATGATCTCAACTTAACAACCTAACATCACAATGAAATAATTAGAGAAGCAAGAACAGATCAGCAGAAGATGAGAAATAACAAAAATTAGAGCTGAAATGAAGGAAATTGGGACATGAAAAACCATTCAAAATATCAACGAATCCAAGAGTTTGCTTTTTGAAAAAAAAATAATAAAACAGACCACTAGCTAGACTAATAAAGAAGAAAAGAGAAGAAAACCAAATAAACATGATTAGAAATGACAAAGGGGATGTGACTACTGACTCTACAGAAAAAAAAAAAAAAAAAATAAGAAGCTACTTTGAACACCTCTACACACACAAACTAGAAAACCTAGAAAAGATGGATTAATTCATGGACACATTCGCCCTCCCAAGACTGAGGCAGGAAAAAATTGATTCCCTGAACAGATCAATAATGAGCTGCAAAACTGAATCAGTAATAAATAGCCTAACAACTGAAAAAAGCTTGGGACCTGATGGATTCATAGCCAAATTCTACCAGAGTACAAAAAAGAGCTAGCACCATTCCTACATGCACTATTCCAAAATATGGAGGAGGAGGGATTCCTCCCCAACTCATTCTATGAGGCCAGCATCATCTTGATACCAAAAACCTGGCAGAGACACAACAACATCAACAAGAAAAAGCTTCAGGTTAACATCCTTAATGAAGATCAATGCAAAAATCCTCAAAAGACACTTGTAAACCGAAATAAGCAATGGTGAAAAGATTCTCTATTCAATAAATGGTGCTGGGATAACTGGCTAGCTATATGCAGAAGACTAAAGCTGGAACCCTTCTTTACACCACACGTAAAAGATCAATTCAAGATGGATTACAGACTTAAAACTATAAAATCCCTGAAAGACAACCTAGGCAATACCATCCTGGACATAGAAACCGGCAAAGATGTTATGAGAAAGACACCAAAAGCAATCACAACAGAAGCAAAAATTGACAAGTGGGATCTAATTAAACTTAAGAGCTACTGCACAGCAAAAGAAACTATCAACAGAGTAAACAGACAACCTACAGAGTGGGAGAAAACATTTGCAAACTATATGTCTGACAAAGGTCTAATATCCAGCATCTATAAGGAACTTAAATTTATAAGAGAAAAACAACCCCATGAAAAAGTGAGCAGAGCACTTGAACAGACACTTCTCAAAAGAAGACATACATGTGGCCAACAATCTTATGAAAAAAAGCTGAACATCAGTGATCATTAGAGAAATGTAAATCAAAACCACAATGAGATACCATCTCACACCAGTCAGAATGGCTATCATTAAAATGTCAAAAAATAACAGATGCTAGCAAGGTTTCAGAGAAAAGGGAACACTAATACATGGTTGGTGAGAGTGTAAATTAGTTCTAACATTGTGGAAAGCAGTATGGCGATTCCTCAAAGAGCTAAAAGAAGAACTGTCATTAGACCAGCAATCCCATTACTGGGTATACACCCAGAGGAATGTAAATCATTCCACCGTAAAGACACATGGCACGTGAATGTTCATTACAGCCCTATTCCCACCAATAGCAAAGACATAGAATCAACCTAAATTTCCATCAATGACAGATTGGATAAAGAAAATGTGGTACATTTACACCATGAAATACTATGGAGCCATAAAAAGGAACTAAATCACGGCTTTTGTGGGAACATGGGTGAAGCTGAAGGCTATTATCCTTAGCAAACTAACACATGAACAGAAAACCAAATACTGCATGTTCTCACTTATAAGTGGGAGTTAAATGATAAGAACTTATGAACACAAAGAAGGAAACAACAGACATTGGTGTCTACTTGAGGGGGGAGGCTGGGAGGAGGGAGAGCAGCAGAAAAGATAACTATTGAATATTGGGCTTAATACCTGAGTGAGGAAATAATATGTACAAGAAACCCACATGCCACGTGTTTGTCTATGTAACAAATCTTCACATGTACCCCCAAACCTAAAAGTTTAAAAAATAAATAAATCATAAGGAGAAAATAGAACACAAAATGGACTTTCTGAAAAAAAGCACTTGTAATTTGATTTTAACATATTTACCATATAATCATGTATAAACTCAATCATTTAATTAAAATTTAAATATATACATATATAATATATATGTATAATAAGCAATTAAAAATTTCAACAGACAAACTAAAAGAGAAGATGGTCAAAGCCGAGAACAGTCTTATTAGTCTGGAAAGAGTCAAAAACACAGAATTAAACAGAGAGAGCTGAATAGAATAGAAAGGACAAAGGAAGGGCTGTTTTAAAAACCTGGAAAATATGGAGCCTTTTCAGGGAGCCATCTGAATAAATCATCTCCATTAGTTTCCTTCTTTCTTCACTTTTCACTTTTCTTGTGCTGCTGATCTAGGGCCCAAACTTGGAAACCACAAGGCTACAGAAGTCAAAGTACCAAAATAGTACAAAGGCTGCCTCTTTGCCTTGTAAATGTAACTTAGTTTTAATGATACAAATTTCACACACACACACACACACACACACACACACACACACGCATATCCCATACACAAGTAGAAATTTGAAGTTATTTAGAATGAGAAAGATCACAGAAACATCAAATCACCATACCAACCAGCATTTCCCTTTTTTCCAAAAGTGAGGACACAGTACAAGTCTAACATGAAAGTATTATCCAAGTTTGCAAGATTCCATTACTTTTTAAGTTATCAAAAGCATAAACTGATGCTTATGTATACCCCAGATGTGTCTCCCTGAACAACTTAAATTTCCAAAAAGTTGTTTTCATAGTGAATTTCTAAAAAAACGAAGGCATATCCTGCCCCCACTTTGATCCTTTTAACTATAGATGCTTTCCTTTTAAAATTGTTTATTCCAAATCTTAATAAAAATGGAAAAATAAGATTAAACATTCAGGTAAAAAGAATGTTTTCAAAAAGTGGATTTGTGTGATGTTTTTAGCATTATTTACAATAATGCACTAACTACACTATATCCAAATTGTAAAGCCTTACAGCTTGAGGAAGATAAGAGAGATTGGGGAACAGGAGTGGAAGCTCTGTTAGTGATTTCAGCAGGTAAGCTAATGGAGCAGTGTGCTTCTCTAGTATGAAGGAATCTATTTACTGCCTGTAAATATTTATTTTTAAAATCCTAACATTGTAAGTCAAAGCCCAGTATTAATATTTCCCAATCCTTTACCTTTGACAGTGTTTATCCAAAGTTTTTTGTACTTAAAAGGATTTTTGCTTATTTGTTTGCAAAAATCCTTACTTCTTTCATGTCTGATTCTCGATGAGGTGGAATAAACAGCCCTACTTGGCATTCTGGTCAGAAAAAATTTAGGAATTTTTTCTGACTGATTACTTGCTTGTTGGGTACAGCTATGAGTTTAAATAAAACTATATACATGTGTCTCACGAGGTGGGGTCTAGGACACCTGCTGATGGCTGGGAAACACCATCACAGATCAAATGGCTCACAATGATATAAAGAGCTTCTTTGGAGGGAAGGTCACAAATTATTTGCAGTGAAGATGATGAGAGATTCTGGAAACAATGTCACCAACCAAATGTGTACAGAAGGTTTCACAATGAAGGCTGTCGATATTATTGGCCTCACACTGTCATTTACAGTCATCACATCTGTGCTTTTCTGAGAGCTCTTGAGTGAGCCCACTTATGAGATGTGACTTCCTCAAAGTTGTGACAGGATTCTGTTTTGTGGTCCTTACTAGTCTTTGTAATTCCAGCTTCATCCAGAATCTGGCACGCAGTAAAAGCTCACCACATGTTTCTGAGTGAAGGAGAGCTCTGCATTTGATAACTGTAACTCCTTATAAAATTGTTGTTCTCAGGCAAATAATATCATAGGAATGCTGCTGTAAATATAAAGAAAGATTTATCCTGAAAGATTCATATATCACAGCTAGACTACCTCTTCAGTATCTATTAATTGAATATCAGACAAGAGACTCCTTAAGGTCTCTACACTCTCAAAAATTGTGACTCTTGAAACAATTGCCAAAGTTTATTTTCATGGAAAACATCTGCTGTGCCTAAACGACTAAACATTTCCAACAGACATAATTTTTATCCAAGGATGCAGGGGAGAGGGGAGGCTTGGATGAAAGAAATTAGCAAACCATTATTCCAACCACTAAGATAGAGAGATGGTTGGGCAGAATTAGTTCTGTTTGGAGAAATACCAATGTGTAAAATAATAGCAACTACCTTTTATTGGATGCCTACTAAAAGCCAAGGCATTACAGTAGGTGATATGTATACACTATTGAGAATCCTCAGAGCGAATTGCCCCAGATCACAGAGCTAATAAGCAACTGAGTTGCATCCAGGCCCAGGGTCAGCCAGGCTCCACAGTCTTCCAGTACTTCTCTAGGGGCTGTTCCAGTAAAGCCAAGGTGGAGAGAGGGATCAAGCGAGGTTGCTGAGCAGCAGCAAACGAAAGGGGGATGGAGGTAGGGTGCTGAGAATGGGTGGAAATGAGACTGGGATACTGAGATGGAGGACTAAGCAAAAACCAGGTATGACAAAGGCATATGACAAAGAGAAATGACAAAGGCAAGGTTGCTCATGCTAGTTGTTAAAAACCAGTCAAGCTCCTGGGCCAATAGTTTAAATTGCTACTGCAGAACTGGAAACCCCTCTCATGGGGCTTCTGAGGTTGCAGCCAGGGCATTGCCCCTGGCTTTCTTTTATGGAACCTTTAGAAATTTCTGTGGCCCCTAATGACTCTCATCTTCTTTGATGGTTCTAAAAGCGCTTAATTTTATAAATACATAAATTTTTATATCTCTATTTCAAAAGGACAATCAGAACAGAAAAGTGTGACTTTGAAGTTGCTGTGATTTTTTGGTAGTGAGAGCAAACCCTGTTTTTTGTTTGGATGGTTTTTGATTATTTCATTTAAAAATCTATGGTAGGGGGACAAATTCATATACAGGTTAAATATGCTGAGTAGGTAGATACATTTTTCAATATTGCTTTGATATATATTGAGTGAAAAGTATGACCCTTTTACATATGAGCAGCCTGGATCAAGGCAAAAATTTGCAATAGGCATAAAGAAATCCAGTAGAGAGCGAGTTGACTGTGGCTTAGAAAAGGTGAGAAACTACTTTTACTGAGTAGAAAAATAGAGTCATGCTGGGAAATGTGGGACTTCTATAGTTGAAATTTCTTCTTTTTCTGTCAAACCAAAGGGAAGAGAAAGACAGTTTTGAAAGAGAGAAGCAAAAAATCCCCCAGGGAAATTACTTCAACAACTAAATTGGGAGAGGTTGAGAAAACAGACAGCTACCACGTTGAGAAAGGCTACTGGGGGTTGTTCATCTTTGATTCCTGTGAAACTATATTTTTTTACACATAAAATTGACACCTTAAGTAGCATAGATGAAAAAGGAGATGTTCAGTTTTTACAGCGTTAGGAGAAAGAGGAAAAATATTAGGACTGAGAAGAATTAAAGTTAAGACAGAGAATTAATTCATTGTATTTTGCATTTACATTTTACTGCATTTGTTTGCCTTGGCCATAACATACTATGTAATTCTGTCCTAGCCATAATATACTATTGTAACTTTTAAAATTTATTTTCTTTAGTTTTATTGGGGTATAATTGGCAAAAATCATATATATTGTATAATGCAATGTTTTGATATATGTATACATTGTGAAATGATTATTACAATCAAGCTAATTAATGTGTCTATCACCTCACAGGTTTTTTGTGTGTGTTTTCGTGGCGAAAATACTTACAATCTAGAAAATTTACATTATTATTAGGTACAGTGACTAGGTCTCCAGAACTTATTCATCTTATAACCGAGAGTTTGTACCCTTTGATTAATATCTGTTTTTCCCACCCCTTGGCCCCTGGTAACCACACATCTACTTTCTGTTTCTGTAAACTTTATAGTATGTAATTTTAATTCCAAGTTTCAGGGGAAAAAAAAACACATCAGTGAATGGAAAAGTTCTTTACTGGGCAGGGCCAATGCTTTATATGTCTTCATAGCTCTCCTCTTCTGTTCAGTCAGCTCACAGAAAATGCTAGATGGGGAAAAATATGTGTTTTTATATGTGTCTGTGTTTTTGGTATTATGAGATCTCAGAGTGTTTTTGGTTTAACTACTCCTCTGGGAGGCTTATCCATTTGAATTCCAGGGACAGAACCAAGGGCCCAGGGTCCAAGGCAAAAGTCTTCTAGGAGTATGGAGTATGTATTTGCAAATGTATGATACTACTGGGTGGGGAGAGTGGCCAACTGGAGTTTATATACCCTACTCAAAAGCATTCAATTTCATTTTAGCCTCCAACTTTGTGCTTTCCAATTTTTTCCATTTTAGGTCTCCAACTTTATGTGTTTAGAGTGGCTCTTGGTGATACTGGTTGAGTGTCTACTACAATCTGGGTGCTGTAGATCCTTTTGATAATGCAACAGAGTAGGTAACGTGACTTCATTTTACAGATGAAGAAACACACTTACAGAAGCAAAATAACTTGCCAAAAATCATTCAGTTATTAAACAAACCATGTTAGATATTGATATGGTTTGGCTGTGTCCCAACCCAAATCTCATCTTGAATTGCAATCCGAATTGTAATCCCCATGTGTTGAAGGAGGGACAATGTGGGAGGTGACTAGATGATGGGGGCGGCTCCCCCATGCTCTTCTTGTGATGGTGAGTTCTCAGGAGATCTCATGGTTTTATAAGAGGCTTTTCTCCCCTTCACTTGGCACTTCTCTCTCCCGACATCATGTGAAGAAGCTTGGGTTTGCTTTCCCTTCCACCAAATTCTAAGTTTCCTGAGGCCTTCCCAGCCATGCAGAACTATGAGTCAATTAAACTGCTTTTCTTTATAAATTACCCAGTCTTAGGTATTTCTTCACAGCAGTATGAGGATGGACATTAGTCACAGGTAAGTCTTCTCTTTCTACTTTTACCAGCCTATTGAGGGCAGTAAGCTTACTGGAGGTAAATGAGGAAACAGATGCTTATGTAATAAATTGCATATTTTAGCCTGTCAAGTGACAGCAATTTCATTCCATTTTACTTTTTGTACTCTGCAATGATGGTATGTACACAATTTTTTTATTCATTCTTAAAAAAAGTAAGTTTTACAAGGCCAGGCACAGTGGCTCGCGCCTGTAATCCCAACACTTTGGGAGGCCGAGGTGGGCGGTAACCTGAGGTCAGGAGCTCCAGACCAGCCTGACCAACATGGAGAAACCCCGCCTCTTCTAAAAATACAAAAAAATTACCAAGCATGGTGGCGGGTGCCTGTAATCCCAGCTACTCGGGAGGCTGAGGCAAGAGAGTCACTTGAACCCAGGAGGTGGAGGTCGCAGTGAGCCAAGATCACGTCATTGCACTCCAGCCTGGGCAACCAGAGTGAAACTCTGTTTCCAAAAAAAAAAAAAAAAAAAAAAAAAAGGTTTACAAATGTTCGTTGTGAATTCACAATGTTCCCATGAGGAATTTGAAGAGAAAGCTTTCATTCTGTATATTAAACAGAACAACAAAACTGATAGGCAAAGACTACACTAGTCTTTTCAAGACAGCAATGTGAAAAAGGTGGAACACAATGGCTTGTTCTTGGTAATTAAGTGCTCTGACTGCTTCTAAGCTTGAAATAATTGTAATGTGTTATACTTGCATTTCATTATTTGGAGTTTTGAAATACAGTTTGAAGAAAATAAGATCATTAAGCAAAAATATAGAGATGATAATAGGCATGATTTACATTACAGAAACCTTTTTTTTAGTCTCAAAAATATTTACCCTTTAGGGTTCTTTATGCTTTGAGCTCTCATAATACAACTAAGTGCTTGTTTTTGACTCGTTAGTTACTTAACCTAGGGTTAAGGTACAGGAAGACAAGCAATGAAGCAAAGTGAAAAAGGGGTTAAGGTGCATTTCTTAAAGGGTTTGAAGCCCTGATGGTTAAAGAGCATTATGAAATAAAGTTATCTTAGAAATAGTAACAATAGTAGCTAATAAATATTGAGTTTAACACTTCACAGGCACTATACTAAGCACTTTATACAAATTTAGTGCCCTCAATAGTCCCATGAACCGGTTAGTATTATTATCCCAATTTTGCAGATGAGGAAACTGCGGCACAAAGAGAAAAACCTCTTGTACTCAACAATTTTTAACCCTGGAGTCTCACTTATAATTCTCTTTAACCAAAAGAAAGAAATCGGTCACAAATATTAGAGGTGAAGGTCACTTAGAGATCAGTTTGTCCATCATTTCTCCAACTGGGTTCCATATGAGAAGATGTGGGATGAATGGATCCCCAAAGAAATCTGAAGATCAATGCGTATTCTGCTCACTCACTTTCTTGTTCAGCCACAATTTCTGAGTTGTTTGAATTATTTTACAAGTTCATATCACCTTTAAACTCAGAATAAAAGTTGTTTAGCCTTTAAAAAATTGTGAAATGTGCTAAAAGTGTTTGAAAAAAGTTCTTTCTCATTAACAATCTCCCAAGTTTGTATTTGTCTTTAGCCTACTTGTCTTTGTTCCATCAAGCTCAAACTACCTTAAGCAAAGTGATTAATGGAACAATTCAGGGGTTGGCATACTACAGCCAGGAAAACAAATCCAAGCATTTTATTTATTTATTTATCTTTATTTTTAAAGGGTTGTAAAAAGGAAAACAAAAAAAAAGGGTGGGGGGTGGGGGGACAGGGTCCTTGTGTGGTCGTGAAAGCCTATTTACTATCTGGCCCTTCATAGAAAATGTTCACAAACCTTGAGAATAATCAAACATTCTGAAATAGTAAGTACAACTTAAGGAGGTTTTACTTTGACAATGTAAGTATAAAAATGTTTTCTCTATTCCCATAGTGGAGTAACTAATTTACAGAACAATTAAGTGGCAAGTTAAAATCAGAATATTTACTAGTGATGTAACTAAGAATATTTAGTTTTGGTTATGAACAACTTTATTTTGCAAACTTAGGCATGCAAGAAATAGAATTTATGTCTGTAATGACTTAGTTTGTTTCTCATACCACTTAGGGAGCAGAAACTTAATGTCAGTTGATTTGGGGTTTCCCTTTTTCCCAGGGTTGAGTGTAATTTTGAGGGAGACATCTGGTTACCATGTTTCACATGTTTGTACTGCTGAAGCAGCCCCTACTCTTCTCCCGGGCTTCCCATCTGTCTCACCTCTAATGCAGCAGCCCTGCTTCCCAGTCACACAGCCCCCTAGTTACGCAGCCCCTAGTCACACAGCCCCCTAGTCACATAGCCCCTAGTCACACAGCCCCTTCAGGACGTTTCCCCACTGTTACTTCCTTGCCACTGTCTAAAGCCATTATAGTTTCACTAAACCAAAGCCAGATTCTTTCTGCTTAAAAGAATTTATTGCCTGTAATTTGGTTAGCATTTGCTTATCTCAAGAGTTTTGAGCCTTTCCTAAGCTCAAGGGAGTATCACTTTTAGCCTCACTGCATTCTCATTTATAGCATTTGTGACATTATAATTTTCTGAGTCTATTTGCCCCCCTGGCTTCGAAACACCTTTGAAAATAGGCACGATTTTGTGTTTTCATTTGTTTCTCCATTTTATAGCAGTTTCCAATACATACTAGGCACTCAAGTATTGGTTCAAGTGAATGAGTCACTAAATTCATTACAGAAGTCTTTTAAGGCTTGATTATATTTTGTCAGCATTGGAGTTACTGTATGCATCAGGGATAAACTTACATTTCCTTTAAATTACTCTTTTACTGGGAAGACTGGTCTTCCACAATGGAGATTTTGTGTGTGTATAAATATTTACTTATACACACACTTCAGGTTTTCAAAAAGCTTCAGGTAAATATAGTAGAAAGTGGAACTTAAACTGGTAAGCACAGTAGATATCAAGTTTGGTAGTGCTTTTCATTAAATATTAGAATAAGATCCAGAATAGAATCTAGTATATCATAGATGCTCCTGGGGAGCCACTGAATGAACTCTGAGCAAGTAAAAAAATAATTTCTTTTAGATACAAATTTTGTTTTGGTCAACAGAAACATCACCTCTTGATGTGGAAATGAGGTACTCTGAGTGCTTCCTAATTTCCCCAAGTGTTAACTTTGTTGTCTCCTTATCTGCTATCAAAAGTGTCTTCTAGGGCAACAGAAGACATTGCTTTACACACGTACTTGTCTTGAGCACTATCCAGCAGCTTCAGTGTAGAGCTGAAGCAGATATGAGCCTATGGGGGAACCACACAGAAAACTATATTCCTGACCATAAAGGCTTAGTTCTCCAGAGAAATGCTATCCTATCCCTAGGTTATAAGTTAATCTTTGTTTATGGACTCTGTTCTACAAAGAAAGTGTTCAAATTCCCTGTGAAATCACAGGTGAAGATTATGGGTGGTATTAGAAGTGCTTCTCGTGATTTTGCCAATGAGAAGAATAAGGTAGCCCCCAATAAAACTTACCAAATTAAAATATGCATGGAGAGGGAGAAAGGTCAGAAGAGTGACTTTCCTAGAACTGAGGTGTAGCTTAATCTATATGTACAAATCTAATAAAGTATGTCACTTGAGACTTAAACATAGCCAATATATGTGTTGAGAACTGTCCAAGGCAGCACAACTCAATCCGGGCAACTTGGGCAATCTGGTCCCCTTAGAGTGGTCTCTGCTGAAGAAGGGTGGATATTTAATCAAGCGTCATCACAAAATGCCTGAAATGCCCCTTGCTACCTATCTCACATCACTTCAATCCCACAGTCATCAAGTAACCTGCTGATTATGCTTCCAGGAGAGGATGTATTGTGGTTTGGAAATATGAAAATTCTGGTAATTGGAGTATCTTTGATTATAACTGTAACTTGATAAAGTGATTTCTTTTATGTATATTTATTCATCATATCAGACACATACAATCTTAGTAGATATTGACAAGGTCCAGTTACTACCAAAGGCCATTTGGCTACTAATTCCTACCTAGATCAAGTTCTGAAATGATGGGTCTTATCTTCTTTAACTGTAGAAATTCAGTAGCCGCGATCCAGTGCCTGAAATAACTACAAGTTTAGATGTTTGCTGAGTGAATAAGTTACATACACACAAAGCTAATCCATGTTGAGATTTCTTGATAGCCAAAATGATTTTCCTGGAGATCCCAAATTCTGTCTCCTTGCATATGGTCTTTCTATTTAAACTTTAGCAAAGACATTTGTTCGTTAACATTCTTTACATAATAATTCACAATGTAACTTCCTTCTAAATTTTGGTGCCAGAAAAAATTATCAGGAGGAAAACTGAGTGCTTCCTTCTATCAAATGTAAAATCTTCATTATCCATCATCTTTTTTCTCGGCTGCCAGAAAATTCCAAGACATATTTACATATAATCACAATGGCTATTATCTTCTGATAAAATTTCTCCTTTACGTATTTTTTATCTTTAATATATTTAAATATTGTCTACTGACTTCCTACAGTAAGAGAATTTCTTGAGACATTTTCTTCTTGCTTCTCTTTTATTCCATCTCCTAACATTGTTATACACATTGAGTAACTCTAATTTGAAAATCTGAAATCTGAAATGCTCCAAAATCTGAAATTTCTTTAGCATCAACATGATGCTTGAAGGAAATGCTCACTGAAGCATTACAGATTTCGTATTTTTTGATTAGGAATGCTCTACTGGTATGTATTCTGCACATATTCTAAAACAAAAAAACTCAAAATCCAAAACACTTCTGTTCCCAAGCATTTTGGATAAGGGATAATCAACCTGTATTACCATTTTAGATGCTGTATTGATTACCCCCATAGCTTTAATCAGCTGTAGGGGAGGAAAAAATCTTTTCTCTGTCCATTTTAGGAGCCCCAGCTGGGGCTCTGTAATAGAAGACAAATTAACAGGAGAAAAGCAAACAAATTAGTAAGAGTTGAATACTTCATATTGAATTGGACAAAGAGTAGTAAATTACAAAAATGTGGCAAGACAAAGGGGCTGGGGCCAGGGCAGAAAATGGTGGAACAGTAACTGGGAAAATGAGATATATTTTGCATGTTTGTCCCCTTCAAATCTCATGTTAAAATGTGATCCCCAGTGTTGGAGGAGGGGCCTGGTGGGGGGTGTTTTGGTCATGGAGGCACATCCCTCATGAGTAACCGGGTTTGGTGCTGTCCTAGTGGTAGTGAGTTCTCTATCAATTCATGCTAGAGCTGGTTGTTTAAAAGAGCCTGGAACCTCCTCTGCTTGCTCTCACCATGTGATACGTAGATTTCCCCTTCTACTTCCACCATAATTGTAAGGTTCCTGAGGCCTCACCAGAAGCAGATGCTGGCACCAGCTTGCTTGTATAGCCTGAAGAACAGTAAGCCAAATAAACTTTTTTCTTTGTAAATTACACAGACTCAGGTATTACTTTATAGCAACACAAATGGACTAATACAATAAGGGTTTCTTTAACAAGGTTGGTTTGTACAGGTTTTTCTCAGCCCTTATGACAAAAATTTAACTTTCCTTCTGGTATAGACAGGACATCTTCCATATGGGAGTTTTTATGTCCTGTTTTAGGAAGAAAAAGGGGTGGTCAAAGCATCCTTCTTGCATCTGCTGTTACAAGCTCAAAATAATTTGTATGCCAAAATGGCATATTTTGGGGTGGCATACTCTGCTACCCTTCAAGATATATAATCCCTCTACCAGAGACATATTTCTTAATTTCTCTCTTCTCCCCATCATCCCTCTCATAAAATGAGGATATCAACATGAACTCTTTTCCCCTTAGGTCTCTTTCCACCCCTCTTCTTCATTCTTCCAGGTTTTCACAACTGTCTTTTTATGTGGTCAAGGTCATACTTAAATTCTGTGCTGTAATCAGTGTTTACTGTGCTTTGCCTATGAAATGATTCTAAAACAGTATATTACTGAACTATGTACGTATCTTTCACTGAAGAGCTCGGTAGTATATTTGGAAAACATTATTTTCTGTATTGCTTTTTGCTTTCCTGAAGCTCCTGTGTTTCCTTTTCTTTTGCAATATGCATTTTTCATTTCCTTTGGTATGGTAGCACTGAGCTAGAAGTCAGTTCCAGGGTCCTCATTCTGCCAGTACCTTGTTGCATGGATGAATAATCACTTGTTTGAAGTTTACATGGAACATGACAGCCTTGGCCTTTTGGAAAGTTGTCACTTTAGATGATCTCTAATTTAGGTATTTTCCAGAAGGACTTCAAAGGAAATATGTTCTTCATTAGTGGAATTCATAACACAAATCAGCTTCATGAAAATGCAAAGTTAATAAAGGCATTCCACATGACTGGGAGGAAAAAAATACCTTAGTGTTAGAATAAAAGTAAACTTCTAAATATGTAGAAAGTTTATAGAATCTAGGATGAAAAAAATACATTTAAAAAATACAACTAACAAAATCAAAAGCTAAGAAGTTGGTCTGACAGAAACCAACAAAACATTACTAAAAGTAATGAAAAGTATATGGAGTATTCAAGACAAATACTTCTAACCTTGTAGGTTTCAAAATCAACCTCAAAAACAGGCTAAATATTCCTCCTTACTCAAAATAGTTTTTGTATGCTTAAACCATATAGACAAAGCTTAAGGCTTCTTTCTAACAAATTCACCTGTCAACTGAATACCTCCCATGTGTAAGAAGCTATTCTAGGCACCAAGGACAAAGTTGAAAAACCAGATGTTGTGTTTAAGTACTTAGAGTCTAGGCAATAAATCACAATATACCGTACAGGGTGACATGTGGATAGGGAGGAGCTAGCACCTGTGTGTGGGCAACCTGGGGGAGGAGGGACCTAGGGAGATAATGCTAAGGCTGAGACTTGAAGAATAAGGATTTTCTTAGAAGACAAAAGGAAGGGACAGGCATCAAAAGCAGAAGGAATAGTTCGACAGAGTGGGGATGTGAAGACTCATAGCCATGTGAATAATAGGAGCCATTTGTTAGCTGCCTCATATAACTGGTGTGGGGATGGCAGGGGAACTTGGAGTCAGAAGAGATGCACACCAGAAAGGCATTATCTATCCCATGAAGGCTTATGGAGTTCATTCTAAAATAACTGAAAGCTTTTTGCAGTAAAGAAATGAAATAATCAGATTTGTATTTTAAATGTTCAGAAAAGACTGAAAGGAGTCAAGACTTTGCAGAAAGCCCAGTGAGGAATTTCAAGAACCAGAGTTTATCAGTCTGCTTGGGCTGCCATCACAAAATGCCACAGACTCAGTGGCTTAAACAACAGAAATTTATTTTCTCACAGATCTGGAAGCTGGAACCTCAAGATTAAAGGGTTGACAACACTGGATTCTCCTGAGGCCTCTCCTGTTGGCTTGCAGACCACTGCCTTCTCATTGCATCCTCACATGGCCTCTTCTTTGTACATACACATTCTAGATGTCTCTCCCCCTTCTTATAAGAACACCAGTCATATTGGATTTGGGCTTCACGCAATAGCCTCATTTTACTTTAATTACTTTTAAAAGGCCCTATCTCCACATAAAGTATTATTCTATGAAGTACCAGGGGACAAGATTTCAACATATGAATTGTAAGGGGACACAATTCAGCCTATAACATAGAAAGTGGAGAAGAAGGGACAAATGGAAAGATAGGAAGTAGAAATTAACATGACATGATTGTTTGATGAGTCAGTTATACAGAAGAGATATGGAGATCTACCTGATTCTTTGTTTAGGCAATCAAGTGTCTGCGGTGCCATTTGTCAAAAAAATGAATGCAGAAGAAGGCTTAGTTTGCCCCCACAAAAGTGAATACTTCAATTTTCAAAATGTTACAGTTGAAGCAGTAATTTCTAGCTAAAAGATAACTCAAAGTTCAGAGCTTAAGAACAAGTAGTATAGATAGAAGCCAAGGGTATGTGAGATTGTCCACAAAGAAAATGTAATATAAGGCCGAGCGTGGTGGCTTATGCCTGTAATCCCAGCACTTTGGGAGGCCACTGTGGGTGGATCATGAGGTCAGGAGTTCAAGACCAGCCTGGCCAAGATGGTGAAACCCCATCTCTGCTAAAAATACAAAAACTAGCCAGGCATGGTGGCACATGCCTGTAATCCCAGCTACTCAGGAGGCTGAGGCAGGAGAATTGCTTGAATGCATGAAGGGGAGGTTGCAGTGAGCTGAGATCGTGCCATTGCACTCCAGCCTGGGCGACAAGAGTGAAACTCCATCTTAAAAAAAAAGAAAAAAGAAAATGTAAAATAAGAACAGAAGGGAATGAAATCCTGGTGAATAATGCTAAAGGGTAGTTGCAGAAGCAGAAGCCAAATACGAAAGCTGTGAAGGTTTATCAAGAGAGATGAAGAATCAGAACAGAGAAAAATGGCACAAAAATTAAGGGAGAGAATAATTAACTTAGATATAGTTGTTAATTCCTAAACTTTTTTTCAGAAACTTAATGATATTTTACCTCAAGGATCATGATATATACTTTTTTATGAGTTCTAATGTGCTTATGTTAGTAAACTAGAATATAATTTTTTATTATTTCTCACTATCCAGAATGTGTTCAAAATACCCTACTGATGTCATACAGCTTTCATTACATCTTTTGCAAATTTCAAATCTTTAGAATGAAAAATTATCTCTAAAACCAAAATATGATGCCATATATCTTAAATTAATCCATAAACTGATTTTTTTTTCCAGGATTAATTATTCTTGACAATACCCCTATTTATATTGAAATACACATTTTGAGGTCAGATGCAAAACAAAAGCTACCTATAACAATATGTATGCCTTAAATACTGTAGAGGTTGTAAGTTATCTAATGGACTGATATTTGAACAATATAACACATCTTGGAACGCCATGCTCTTAGAGCACTAACTAGAGTTTGAAATCTTTTCATGAAATCTACTTGAGTGGTGCTAAAGATTTTATGCAGAAAACTGAAAACAATTTGCATATGGGAGTAACATTCATCAGCTATATTGTAAATATTATTTGGAGGCAATCAGAGAGAGACACTTTAAAATTCCACATCACTCTGGAGAACCTAAGGCACAGATACAGATGATTTATTATGTTTTCAAAAAGTGACAAAAGGGAATATTAATTCTGGAAGATTTTTAATCAATTTAACACTATTATACATTAGAGGAAAAAATTTTGCACAAACATTCCCTCACAAAGCCAGTAGTCTTATATTTACA
The DNA here is from genome assembly GCF_000001405.40 of Homo sapiens. Classification (NCBI taxonomy): domain Eukaryota; kingdom Metazoa; phylum Chordata; class Mammalia; order Primates; family Hominidae; genus Homo; species Homo sapiens. The sequence continues at coordinate 69,675,958 of NC_000006.12, forward strand.
TAGCATGATTATGGTAATTTAAAATGTTAATCTATGATACAATGTTACTTCAGAAAACATATAATAAAATATAGTTGTCTTATAGCCATGCTCCCATTTTTGATGAAAGCTAGTTAGCAAATCCTAATGTTAGTTTAATACTTTAAAAATGCATAACAGATATTCAGTCAGCATTATAAAACCTTTAAGACAGAAGGCTGTCAAGCAGAATAGACAGAGGGCTCATCATCACTTATGTCTGAATCTTCATCTACTCCTTCAATAACCGATTTCTTCCCTTTACAACAGGATACAATTAATCCAATCAAAAATACCTGTAAATTTAAATAAGCCATGTGTTATTTTTCAAATTTAAAATCATCTGGAAAGTAATGCTTTAAAATTCAATGACAGTACTATGATACAAATGGCCTAGTAAGATAAAAAGAGTTTACACATTTAACTATAATTTATAAAGGAAGGTCAAATCACGCGTGGGATATCTGCACTTACCCCAAGAAAGGCCCAGTTACCAAAATAGTAAGCAGCACTGAAGAACCAGAACTTGTGAAGGAATAGGTATGTCCGGGTAACAGTACACTGATCTGTGAAAGCAAATAAAAGACTATGGTGAGATAGGTTCTTTCATAAAATTGATGATTAATACTTTCTCTAAAAGATTATTAACCAAAGCTAATGACTAAGATCATATGGCTAGTAAGTGTCAGAGATGGTACTGAAACTTAGGTCTCTCTCCAAAGCCCACTCTTTCAATCACCTTAATGTAGTGTTAAAAACTGCCAATTAATATGACATATTAAAAAAAAAATGAATGCCACCAATGCAATCCAGATCTTAAGTATAAAAAAATCATCTTGACTAGTTTGCTTTACTGGAAATAGAAGAATCATTTTTACTTGGAGTGTCAGACATATCATAAAACAAAAAAAAAGTTTTCCTGATGAACATCAAGAAGAAAGAACAAAGTAATCAGATGTGGTCAGTATTAAGTTGCACTTGTAGGGGCAGAAAGGTCTAATACCTTTCCTCACCCATTGTAAGTTTCACGGTCAACACTCCTATAACAGAAGACAGGTTAACAAGAGAAAAGCATAACAAATTTATTTAGTCAGTTTTACATGACACAGGAGGCTTCAGAAATGAAGACTCAAGGGAAAACTGTGTATTTTCAAGCTTCGTCAATGAAGAATGGAGAGCTAAGAGCTAAGAATAGAGAGTAATTGGACAAAAGTGTATAACCAAATGGTAACAGACTGAGCGGGGAAAGCCAGCAAGGTCTGTATGTTCAGATTCTTCCTGGTCTTTCTACACAGCATCCCCTCCTTCAAGGTATAGGGCAGAACTCCTTTTGGAATGAGGGTCTTATGACCTACTATTAGACAAGGTAGGTCATAGAATTTCTTTATGGCCAGCTCCTACATAGAAAGGCAGGGGAAGGTTAGAATAATATTTCTAGGTTTATGGCTGGCTTTGGAAAAGTGGGGTTCTAATTTCTATGACATGGTTGGGGGAAGAGAAGTTCCAGTTTCTATGGTCTGCCTTGGGAGAGAAAGGGGAACAGAAGAAAGAAGGGCAAGGGAAGGTTGAAAGGATACTTTGCTTCTGGGGGTCTTCCAATATCCTTCAGTTCAAAGTACTTAGCATGTTACAGTGTGTGCTATCATTTTCTTATCCCCAACACACTTTTCTAAGAAACCAATTCTCACGGCAGCTCAAGCTTGAGAGGTTTCTTTCAGCTTTTATCTTTTTATGACTGCTATTGAATGGATGACTACTACTTCTAAAGAAATAGGAAAATCATTATTTACTGATGTGATTCCTGTTTGAACTTTAGACGGCATTATAGATGTAATTAAAAATAAATCATATATTTTTCTCCTTCAAATAAAATGTAACTCTCAAAGAGAAAGTAGCAGACTGGTTATTTGATATTTGTGTAAACCCCATATTAGTTTTGTACAAATACATTATTTCCATTAGTTGCAAAGTCATCTACACATATTCAAGCCATTCAGAGAGGCCTGTGGCAACACAGTACAGTTGACCCTCAAGCAAAACAGGTTAGAGTTGCCAACCACCACACACAATCAAAAATCCACATATAACTTTTGACTTCTCCAAAACGTAACTACTAAATAGCCTGGTGTTTTCTGGAGGCCTTACTGATAACACGAACTATAGATTGACACATATTTTGTATGTTATGTATATTACATACTATGATCTTACAATAAAGTAAGCTAAAGAAAAGAAAATGTTATTAAGAAAATCATAAAAAGTGAAAATATATTTACTATTAAGTGGAAGTAGATTATCATAAAGGTCTTTATCCTCATTGTCTTTACATTGAATTGGCTGATGGGAAGGGGAAGGATGGGGAAGAGGAGGGGTTGGTCTTGCTGTCTCAAGTGGCAGAGGTGGAAGAGGTGAAGGAAGTAGAATAGGAGGCAGGAGAGGCAACTGAAACTTTTATTGAAAAAAAATCTGGCATAAGTGAACCCATGCAGTTCAAACTTGTGTTGTTCAAGGGTCAACTACATTATGTAATTGAGTGTAAAATTATATATGCTGCATCTAATAGAGGATACTAACCTCACAAATTTCAGAAGGCCTACTTCTTTTCAGTCTGTTAATTACAAAATAAATTATAATTTCTACATATTTTTATTCAAAATGGACAATGGCAAAAAGATCCTACATGCAATTAGAAGACCAATCTCATATCCTATTGTTAATCAAGAAAATACACCTTTAGTTCTATTTTTCTGAGCTCTCTTCTCAGCTTCAATAAGTAAGTGTTCTTTTCTCTCAAAACATAAAATTGAGCTGAGGGCTACATAGTCCAGCTTATTACATAAGGGATCTAATAACACTTTTTTTGTTCCTGTCACATGGTTTTCCAAAAATAGCATTAAAGTTATATTTTATCAACATATAAGACTTGTTACATAAAGCTTCAGATATGTGATGTAAAGATTTAGATAATCTAAATTTTATCTACTCTAAACCCTTCCACTGTACTTCAACATTTACTTCTGAATTGCTCAATACCAAACTGAACAAACCTGTCTCTTTCTGGTTAAAACAAAAAAAAAAAAACAAAAACAAACAAACAAAAAAAATCACACAGTTTAATAAAGAAGCAACTTCTTCCTTTTAGGAGCAAGGACTACCAATCTAATTCCTATCTATTGAGCCCCCAAAAGCTCCCTTCAGAGTCTTTCTTCTCTTTATCAACAGAAAAGTCTAGAATGAATATTCACAGTTTTCTAAGAAAACCAGAAAGCCTTTAAGCAGCATTAGCTGGACATATTTCTGTCTCCTATAGTTACCATAGATGAGTACAGCTTTACACTAGGTGCTGGGAGTTCAGACTCACAGCAGAGACTCCTGGATAGAAAATTTGTCATTTACTTCGTGCTCCCACCACATTTTATTCTCACTTTTATTACAGAACTTACTTCACAGTGATATAGCTATTCAATTTGTCATTTTTTTTCCAGTAGATATACTGAGTATCCTAAAATACCATTGGAGTACTCAAATCCATTCATATTCAATGACTGTTGACGTTAAAAGGGGATATTTTAAATTTATATTAATTAAATAGCCCATTTTCTAATTTTTAAAAATTGAAATCTGACAAGATTCCAAGGGTATAAAAATGAGAAAATTGAATATATCTTGAAATTAAAGCATAACTAAAATGTCCAGCATGGTGAACGAAGAGCCCAGGCTCCGGACTCTGACAGACTTGGAGGTGAATAGCATTTGGTCACTTTTTTGCCATGTGTACAGGCAAATCTGAACTGTGGAGCCTGTGGACTTATAAAAAGGGGATATCACCATCTTTCCTCACAGAATTGCTATAAAGATCATATGACATATACATCAAAAGCCCCAGGCAAAGTGGCGCTTAATATTAATTTTCTTCCTTTTTCCTCTGCAAGGTATAGAGAACAATTGTGAAGAGCTACTCAAATGGTTGCAAGTCTTAAGATTTCAGACACGCATGTCCAACAGTAGGAAAATAATTGGTTAGTCATTAATATCATGACTACTCTGTGCATGCCCATTATTTTTCTGTCTCTACAGTTGAAACAGACACAAATGGATTTGGCAAAATTCAAATTTGTATAATCAGTATCAGCATACACTGCTAAATATACCTTTAAATAACCAATTTGAATGTTTCAAAAATGAAGAGCAGGGTAGGCTTGGACCTACCCAAAAAATGCCTGTTCATAATTATTTTAAAAACAAGAATGGTATCATTCATGGTTTAAGTATTACTTTAGCTTCATTTTACAAGTATAAGCCTGTGAAAAACTCAACTTTCTCAATACTGCTAATGCTGTAAACTTAAAAAATAAAAGTTATTTCACTCATTTCCATACTTATGATATTTTGGGAGTCAGAACTTGACAAAATTAGAAATTTCAGGGCCAGAACAGGGCTAACAAAACAGAGGCTGAGCTGGCAGAAGCAAGATAAATCAAATCATTCTTCTCCAGACATCTAATAATCCACTTAGTGACATTTTAAATTGGCTTATACTCTCTGACTCTTGCCCACCACCAAAACCATATCTTAAATATTTTTTTGATCACATTATTTTACATGTTTACCTTTTTAAAAGGTTGTGGACTTTGACAGAAGCCTTTTAAAATACCATAAAAATGTATCATCATTCTGCGTTGTTGTTGAAAAATGATAGAAGGCTAAAAATCCACACACACAATAAGTAACAGCTCTTTATATGCATCTTTATACATATATATCATTTTATTTCTATTAACTGGGATATACCCATATAAAAATTTTTGCTAATAAGATGCATGCATATATTTCCTATTCAAGTGACAATTCCACCCTGAATAAATGGAGGGGAGTGCCGTTCTTCACCATCTGCCATCTTCCAGCTGCTCACCTGAATCACAGATATCTAGGAGATATATAGATTTCTTTCTATAATTATCCAACTAAGAAAATCACAATAAAGGTTCTGAATTTGGTTTTACCTTCAAAGTAAATTTAAACTGTTGGATATTTCATTTAGGAATTGTGTTCTAAAATCAGAAGTATTCCAGAAACTTCTGACTGTTGTTCCTCAAAAGAAAATATAATTGAATTAAAGATTAAACTTCCAATTAAACTAAAGATTAGATGTTAACAATGAACACTAAACATGGGGGAGGGGGGCTCAGATAATTTTTTTTTCTGATGAGAAAGTGGCCATACAAAAAAGAATTCAAAGGGCCAAAAAGGGGCATCTGAAGCATATGAATAAAATCAAGACTTTTGAATCCTGCTACTACCACCATTCCTTCATCTCTTCTCACATATCATCAAACAGAGAAATAACAGGAAATGCAAGTACACCATTTTTTTTGTAATTTAACAGCAGTCTTTAAGGATTTATCTGATAAATTTTATATTATATATTTCCTGTTTCCTTTGTTATGTCACTTTTAATGTATCTTGACTGCCACTAAGATAACTTTGGTTAAGTAGAATAAATAATACCTTTTATTTTAAATACATATTTTAAAAACATTTAATGTTTAAGCCACAACTGAGTCATCATGTTAAACCTTCACTTGAAATCAATTTATAATTAATTACTCTATATTTGCATTTTATAAAACAAAGCCTTATTTTACGTGTATATATATAGAAGACATTTGAGAACACTCATGTAACATGGAGAATAATTTTAAAACAAGCAATTTATTTGACTAGTGACCAAAAAAACTTAGAAGCCTAGACTATTTAGAAGCCACTTCATAGCTCTTGGCTGCCCATGACTGTGCCAATTGGTTCCTGATTAGGGTCTTGCTACTATTGAATATTTATAATGAACATATATATCTTAACTGTATACAGGCTAAGGAGCTTGGATTTTATTGTGATATGATTTGAAATTATTTATAAAATGGTTTTAAGAAAGAATAACAAGAGTGGAGTACAGACTAGAAGAGGAGATTGAAAGTAGAAAGAGGTTTACCAAGTTAGAAGACTATACAACTGGAAAAAATGAGCTCAGGGATGGGAAGAAAAAAGTTGGGATCTGTGAGATTTTTAGGATTTAAAATCCTAATGTTTTATCGTCAGATGGAATACATACACGTAAAAAGATTTCGGAAACTAATGAAATACATCCAAATAAATGGGAAGGCAGAAAAAATGAAGATATATAATAAAAACCAAAGTTGTATATTTATATTAAAATTTAACAAGTGGCATACAGTTAAATCAATGTTTTGTTAAATCTCACTGGGAGATTTAGGTAAAGGGGAAGAGAACTGATGAATGTCAAAACTCACAGAAATTTTGAAGGACACAGTTTTCTTATACTTTAAGAATACACAAACTGTATCAGGTTAATAAAGATATTTGCCAGATATTTTGCACTTAAGAATAAGTTTCAGAGTAACCATTTTTAAGAACAAGTATAATCTGTGTTGAGCTCTGGTTATATTTAAATAAGTTTAAAGCATTTCCAAGGTGCTAAAATATATATTTGCCTTTTAAGAAAGAATGCTACTAATTTCATTTTATTACTAATTGGCCATATAACACTCATTAAAAGGGAGTACAAGGTAAGTATTAGCATATAAAATGTAGAAATGGTATAATCACAATCTGTATAAGTGAACTCTAAATTACTGAGACTTACTATCTGCTGGTTGTAATTGTCCAAGGATAGTCAGATATAAAGCAATTGTCTTCTATTACTTTAACTTTTGATAAAATAAAAGTAGTTTAAACGGATATACTAGAAAATATTAAAGACAGAAAACTGAGATTTAGTTGAGTCTGACACTAATTTACTATGAGACCCTTGAGGTAATTCATTTAGCTTCTAAATATCAGTTTCTTTGTAAGTGACATACAGATATGTGTGGTATATGGTGCTAGATCAAATTTCTGGGAATTTAGAGAGAAATTTGCATTTGAAAGAAAAGAAAAGACTGATGTTTTCAGAGTTAGCCACCTTAAGCAATAATCTGTGAGTAGCTGAGAAGTTTCACAAAATTATTTAGGTTGGCTTTGGTGTAGATACTGGAGAACTTAGAAAGCATACAGCTAATCAACTTTACTATACTATTTTAGTTAAACTTCTATCAACACAACCGCAATGTCACCTAGAAAAAGAACCTCAACATCAGGAGACTTTCTAGATCCCCAGCAACATCCAAGAAAAATGATGCTCTGATCAATACTCAATTTTCCAGTCTGCATCGCAATCTTGATTGACAATAGACATAATACATCAGGCTATCTAAGCTAGATACCAGCCAATAAGATCACTGAGGCCCTCTTTCTAACTTCATGTTTACCTAGACATTGTATGACTATAAATTTGATTTTCCATGCAAATTCTTTCTCTCTGGTAATAATTCACTAACCTTGATCATCTAGTTTATTTAATAGTTAAACTTTCTAGGGTAAATTAATTAGCTGCCATTTGGGTGACATTAGATTCTTGGGCTGTTCTCTGTTCAGTCATATGAAGCTAAATATAGATGCTGGAGACCAAAGTATGGCACTTCTTAGAAATAGTTCGATCTCATCACCTACTATTGTGCTACACATCTTATGGGTTTACTATAATCAAATCAAATGAGGTTATCAACACAAACTTCTTATTTGTCAAATAAAAGATTAGAAATGTATAGTATTTAACCACAAAAAAAATTTTAACCTGTTGAAAACATAGCTTACTGGTTCAAGATAACAGACTTAGCACAGTCATTTGTTTCTTATCCTTCTCAGGACCTCATTACTGTTCTAGTATAGGAATAAAGCCAGGAGCAATCCTTTATCAGCAAAGAGAATGGAAGTAGAACCATCAGCTGATGAGAGGTTCCAACAATAATCCAGAAGATGGAAGGCCACATTTAAAAGGTCTCCAGTAAAACAGATGGTTTTCCTCCCATTTATTTTAAAATATAATATGAGGATCAAGAAGTCCCAGATGCATGCACAGAGTTACCAGCAATGACACTTCCCAGTTCCTGATATTTAAATACAAATTGGCATAAATGTGAATGGATCATCAAATATATGTAGAGAACAATCAACATGAGGGAAAAAGAAAACAAGATAAACAACTGCACTAGGATAACCAAAATTATAATTTTACTTAAAGGAAACTATTAAGAAAAATATTTACTATCTTCAGGTATTAAAGATATTACATCCATAAAATAAGGACACTTGAAAAGAACAATCAGAACAACAAAATACTCAGGAAAATAACAATTTATCATATGAAATTAAAATTCATAATATGGTTGACAAAGCTGAATACATACCAAAGAACATAGAGTAAATGGTAGGCAGAAAATATGAAAATGAGATAATACAAACAATCAATTGAAGATATTCAATAAATAATAAAAAAGAATTCCCCAAAGAGAAAATAGAAAATAGAAAGAAACCATGAAGTACCTTCAGAAGAAAAAATAAACTGGCATTAGATTTCTTACCAGTTAAAATGAAAGTAGGAGATAATATAATGCCTTTAAAGTTGTAAGAGGAAATGACTTCTCATGCAGAATTCTAAGCACAGCCAAACTATCCATTAATTGTGAGGACAGAATACTTTTCAGATATATAAGCACTTTTCAGATATGTATTTCATATAAAGAATTTTATTTTTTACCCTAGTAAAACTAAGGGCTTGGGAGAATTCACCAAGAAAGAAGATATGATTTACAATGCATCGGAAGTCTAATGGACAGAAATTGTAGCATTATAATATATAATTATGATTTGTAAAGCTGAGCAGCAGAATCAGAAAAGAATTAATCCAAATAAAAACAGGAAATCAGTAGGTTCCCAGAAGGAAGTTTTCAGGTCAATACAATGGGTTTCATCCAACAGATAAAGTGAGCAAGAAGCTAGAAAATATTAGGCATACTAACATCTTATGTTACTTTAATAATACTATTTAAAAAGAGAAAAGACAAAGGAACAAATTTTAGAATGTGGTTCAATTCTACAAATGTTTAAGGGAGACAAAGATATATTTTCTTATTCTCAAGGAACTTACATTTCTATAAAAAGTAGAATAGAGATAAGATATATGAAGACTATACATTGAGAGAGAATAAGGTAACGTTATAAAAAGTATAAATGCTATGGGAATTCAAAGGAAAAAAGAGAGCACACACATGTTTGGAGATTGAAAAAAGAAGGTTGAGTTAGAAATTAACCTTGTAAGAAGATCCGGATTCTGACTGATGAAAATGGGAGGGGTAGGGCGAAGATTTTTTGTGATATTTCAAAAACAAATCATTGAAAAGCAAAGGTAGATAAGAATCTGGCCATGTCCGAACATGTATGAAAAAAAGCTAGAGACTTGTAAGCGTTAAATAGTAGTAGTCCTTAAATCCTAGACTGAATTTATCAGATGATGTGAGGGGAGCACTTACAGTTTTTACTAGAGAAATGGCATTATCAGCATACTTTGGAAGAGTGGTTTCCACAGTGTGGTTCCCAGACCAGAAAATTCTAGGGTCCCACCTCAGATCCACTAAATCAAAAACTTTGGGTCAGGCGTGGTGGCTCATGCCTGTAACCCCAGCACTTTGGGAGGCTGAGGCGGGCAGATCACCTGAGGTCAGGAGTTCAGGACCAGCCTGGGCAACATGGTGAAACCCTGTCTCTACTAAAAATACAAAAATTAGTTGGGCATGGTGGCACGTGCCTGTAATCCCAGCTACTCAGGAGGCTGAGGCAGGAGAATTGTTGGAACCCGGGAGGCAGAGGCTGCAGTGAGCCGAGATCACATCACTGCACTCCAGCCTGGGTGACAAGCGAGGCTCCGTCTCAAAAACAAACAAACAAACAAAAACACACACACAACTTTGCAATCTCGGTTTCACAAATCTTCCAAGTGATTTTGATGCATGCGAAAGTTTGATAACCTTTCTTTTACTCTAAGTTAAGGTAAAATCACTAAAAGGTACAGTAATTTAAGGGAGACATGATGGAAAGGGGATGTAAGGGTCATTATGGCAAACAAAACAAAATAAAACAAGACAAAACAAAACAAAAAAACTCTGCAGCTCTTAGTAACTGATTAGGTGTGGAGAAGAAGCGAATAACTACTTTGAAGAATGTGGTAGTATAAGAAATACTTAAGTCAGTATAGTCCAAAGTCTTTATCTAATAGTTTATACTATCTTCCCCAAGAGCTATTCATTATAAACATTCTTATAAATACATTACCAAAATAAGGCAAAGTTCTTTATATTAGTTTTACATGATTAATAATTCTCGTTTAGAGTTCCCCATACATAGCTAACAGGTTAGCATCTTTATTTTTTCTTCCTTGACCTTGAGGTAACACCCTAACCTACATACCACATCACAGCTACACACATGCTTTCATCCATAATGTTCAATAACCAGCTGCGGTGCTCAGAACCTAATAGGTTACACTATTAGTTCTCTATGAAGGAATATCCAGAACAAAACAAAGTCAAGTAGGCCCAAAGGAAAAAAGAAATGTATAACCTTAATAGGTACACATACATTTTAAAGATAATTATTATAGATATTATCAAAATTAGAATGTGAAATATTAAACAAATACTTTCTAATTAAAACCCTTAAAAAACGGGCATCACCCCTGACTCCCTTCTCTCTCTGTCTCTCTCAAACTCTCTATCAAGCAAATACTATTGGCTCTACCTTCAAAATATATCCAGATCCTGACCACTTTTTGCCACTGCCACTACCACCATAAGCTCTCCCTTGGATTATTGCAAAACGCTTCTGTCAACCTGCTTTTACCCTTGGCTCATTATGATCTGTATCACAGGTAGGCAAACTATGGCACGCAGGGCAAATCAAGCCTATCATTTGTAAGTTTTATTGAAACATAGCTACAGCCATCCCTTAAGTAATGTCTATGGCAGTTTTCATGCTGCAATGGAAGAGCTGAGTGGTTATCATAGACTACTGCATGACCCACAAAGCCTGAAATATTTACTATCTGGCTATTTACAGAAAAAAGTTTCCAAGCCTTGGTCTATATACAACACAGTAGTCAGAGTGATCCTGTGAGAACATAAGTCACATCATGCCATTCCTCTGTTGACAATCTTCCAGATACTTTTCATTTGAAAGTAAAAGCTGATGTCCTTAAAATTATCTGCTTGCTATTCCTCTACCTCCTCAAGCATACTCCTGCTGTGTACTTGCTGTTAACACTATCTACAATACTCCTCTCCAGATACTGTGTTTGCTCTTCACTTCTTTAAAGTCATGTCACCTTCCCAGTAAGAATTCCCTTTCTCCTGTACCTAAAATTTCAAACCATTCCTCCTTCTGAACACCAGTTAATCTCCTTTGGCACTTTATTTTTCTCCATAATACTTGTCACCTGACATATTTATTTGTCTGTCCCCTTATATTAAGTAAGCTCCATGGGGACAGGGATACTAGAGTGTTTTGTTCACTGCTGTATCCCTAGCACCTAGAATAGTACCTAGCACAGAGCAGACATCAACAAATATTTGTTAAATGAAAAAGCACAAGAATAATAGATAAGTAAAATTAAATGACCTATGTAATACTGGAAATTAAGACATTTATAAATTTATCTTAGAATTTCACGACTAACAGGATTGTGCTTCTCCGTATTACTAAAGAAGATATGTCAATATATTCGAAAGGTGACTGAAATGCAACACAGTCATTACTTAATATTGTATTCCACAAATAAAGAGGGTAACTTTCTAAATAAAGCTATCAAAATTATCAAAATTCTAGTAGAGTTGATGACTTATATTAATCTTATAAGCTAAATCTAACTATCCTTAACTTTCTCACCCTCACTACCAAATTTTCAGACCATAAAACAAAAGGACCACGTAGTTTTTTTTAAAGGTCTCTGCCCCATGTTCTTCCGTCTAAAGAACCAGATGACCTACATTCTCCTGAAGAGGGTTATGTTCTTAGTTATATACTTTCAGAAATCTAAAGCTTAATATGGGGTAGGAAGTGTGAAGTAGATAGTCCATATTCAAACCTGCTTTTTAAATTAAGACAGGAGCAATCTAGCACCATTTCATTTTGCATTATATTTAGGGACTACCATTAGGCTCACAGTACCACAGAAGGTATTAACGAAGATATTAGGAGACTGTCATCACAAAGCATCAATGTCACTTTTTATTTCACCCTTTAAGACTTAGTTTCTAGTGAAATTGCTTGACCAGCTTCATTTTAGTCTGTTAAAATTGGCTGTTCTTAACATGAACATTTTAACTTTAATTGGATAAATCCAACATCAGGTATCAACTAGTGTAGTAATTCTTTTAATAACATCAGTTTTAAACAAAAGTAAGCCTCTCTGGCAAAACACATTCTTTATGTATTTGTATTTATTTATTTAGCTCACAGGCCAAAGTTTGAAGGGCAGAGATTTTTTTTTTTTTTCACTTAAATCCATTGTTAGTGACAATGTAAGTGTTTAAACAGTATTGCTTTAGGAATCTCAGAAGTTCAAGTAGAAAGACATATTCCATATTCTGGGAAAAGACGGTACAAAGACTTTAAGAATTTAATTTTTTAAAAGTTTCAGTAACTACCTTCAGTTACCTTCAGTTAACTACCTACCTACTCATACTTTTCAACAAACTGGGAAAAAAGTCTTCTCTAAAATCAGCATCTACTTGGCAGATGTATGTCATCATTGTGTCTCTCATTGTTTCATCCTTAAAAATGTGTAATACTTTTAATTGCAGAGGTAATAAAAGATATTTATTTAAAAAAAATAAAGTGATTATCTACTTCTTTCCTGAGGCACACAGACTTTCAGATTTTGTTTATGCACGAAAGCATTTAAAAATGAGGTAATATATATACTCTTTCACCTACTTTCACGGTGTTTACTTTTCTATGTCAAAACATACAAAGTTAGATCATTACCTTGTATGTATTGCTATTTAAAGTATCTTCATTGGTAGATAAATACCCAGTTGGTTCCTTTTGTTTTGCTATTTCTTATGTAAACTTGGTGGGATTTGGATACTAGTTACTAAAATGAGATAAAATATGAATCTGGTTTCAAGACTTCTATAAGGGTAAACTACTTTAGGAGACAGAAAAGGAATAGGACAACTCTCCCTATCCCATGACTTGGGGTGGGGGTAGATGAGAAAAATAAATGGAGGCGAGAAGGAAAGAAGTTCAATCTAAGAATGGAGATTTCATAGCTTGGTCAGACATGCATGTCCATACAGATAAACTAGCAGACAGTTAAAAAATAAGAAAAGAAAGTTAAGATTCTGAATTCTTGATTTCTTCCCCATATATTATTCAGCATAACTAGCTTATATACTGTCAACTCTCCAAACAACATTAAAAAACCTCACTCATCTAGCAAAGCTAAGTTTAGCAGACTGACTTCAGTGAGGAAGAACAAGAAGAGGAAAGACAGAGAAGGATATTTACAAGGTTTTAGGGTTGGGTGGGCTGGACCACTTTAATCAGCATTTTTCAAGGTGAGAACCTGGTTAGAACTGACAAAATAGTTTTGGATTGGTAAGAATGATGAAATGGGAAGTCCTGAAGCAAGTCTTTTTGGGAAATCAGTCTTGATAAATAAGCTATTTTAGTTGTTTCACCATCAAGAGTGAGATTTTCCTAAAGCAAGCATACAACTATGTTTGCTTGTTCTAAGTTTTATTTAGCATAGAGGCATGGAAATATTCCTGCCCCAGAATTGTTTATCAGAGTAATATTATATTGGTGCCAACTCTCCCCATTTTATGGGATTAACAAATTTTTAAAATTTATTGATCAGCTTTAAAAATGTTTTAGACTTTATTATGAATTGTTAAAATTAAATCTGGTACTCTGCAATGATATGCTGGAGTAGACAGGTAAATCTGAAAAATAACGAGAGAGAAAGCAGTAAATTTACAATAGTTCCTCAATATCCATGGGGGATTGGTTCCAGGAATCACCCTCCCATTCCCACCCTAAGACACCAAAATCCACGGATACTCAAAGCCCCTTATATAGGAGAATAGTATTAGCATACAATGTACTGCGAGGGTTTCATTCACTCATTCATTCATTTTTTTTTTTTTTAAACTAGTTCTTGTCCTCTGCCAATATTTTGAGCTGATCTTATTCCTTTCCTTCAGTTGGCTGGGTCATAATCTGTGTTGATAATTCTAACACAGATTTTTGCAAGTCTATTTATACTCATTCTCTTGGAGAGTTCTCATCCAGTCTCACAACTTTACTTCCCATCTATCCCTGACTAATCCAGTATACATTTTTTCTCCAGAACTCCAGATACAACTTAATTGTCACTCAAGATCTCCACTTGATGTTTAATGAACGACTCAAACAAAAATGCTCAAAACTAAACTCTACATTCTCCCTCAATACATAAATGTAAACAATAGATAGATGGAATAAAGAATACAATTACTTTGCAAAAAGACTCAAGAGGAATTAGCCAACAAGAAATCTCCTGAATGCTGTTCAGTAAGATTCCATATGAAATATTAGATTTACAAACAACTTTTGGTAATAAATTCATGCTTTTAGTTCATGTGGCATTCAGTATGTGGGATTTTTAAAGGTTATTTTTAAATATAAGATAAAAAAACCCCAAATCAATCCATTTATACTTTTTTAGTTATGTAATACAATTAAAGGATTAATGCTTGAGGTAATGGATACCACATTTGCCCTGATGTGATTATTTATTGCATGCCGTTATCAAAATATCTTGTGTACCTCATAAATATATATACCTAGTATGTATCTACAAAAATTTAAGAAAAAAATTCCAAACCAAAACCACATTAAGGGATTCTCCTCAGTTAAAAATTTCTTCACTTAATTCTCTACTTCAGTCCATACAATCCTACTAAAACTGCATTTCCTAACAATTTAAGATTTGCTAGTTGCTAAATTTCTCTTCAAAGCATCAACACTATTGATCTCTAAACATGATACTTTATTGCATATTATAATGCCATAGTATTCTTTTTATCTCTCCTCTTCCAAACTCTTATGTCTCCTCCAATAACCCAGGTTTAGCCTTTCTACCTTTGTTTTTTCTTCATATTGTCTATGACTTTCATTCCTTTATTGCTTCAAACAACCATTTCCATTATATTTAAAAAGCAGCAACGGCCTCTCTCTCTCTTTTTTTTTTTAACAATTTAAAGGACAGATGATGCAATAATGTTTCATTTTCTCACACTCAAACAAAACACAAAAATGTTAAATGTTGAAAAAAAAAAAACTGGAATCCAGACATTTGCATTAAAAGTCCTAAGTCTTATACTATCTGTGCAACTTTTATCTCTTGGTACCCTAGTTTCTCCATCTGCAAAAATGATTAAACTAGCTAGATGACCTTTCTAAAGTTTTTTCTTCTTTAACATTCTAGTTCATATTTTTAAAACTGTTTACAACTTATGTGGCTCTTTATGGCCTTTATTCCCATATCTATGACTCTCATACAAAAAATGAGGGGATTCTTTAACTTACATAATATTTTAGACAAATGGTTTCAGAAGGATAGGTACTTGAGATTCTGTGAAAATAAGTCAATGTGCTCACTTGTTACCTAAAGAAAGAAAGCTTGGGCCGGGCACGTTGGCTCAAGCCTGTAATCCCAGCACTTTGGGAGGCTGAGGCAGGCAGATCACGAGGTCAGGAGATGGAGATCATCCTGGCTAACACGGTGAAACCCTGTCTCTACTAAAAATACAAAAAATTAGCTGGGCGTGGTGGCGGGTGCCTGTAGTCCCAGCTACTCAGGAGGCTGAGGCAGGAGAATGGCATGAACCCGGGAGGCGAAGGTTGCAGTGAGCCAAGATCGCGCCACTGCACTCCAGACTGGGCGACAGTGTGAGACTCCGTCTCAAAAAAAAAAAAAAAAAAAAAGAAAGAAAGCTTGGTAAACAAATTTTATTTATAGAGACTGTATTTTGAATCACCTCTTGATGATGGCCTTTTTTACTCCAGAACTTAAAGTTCAATTACTTTTTAATGTAAGATATCAATACACATTTTACTTATTCTTTCTTACATTATTATTTACAATAATTCTCATTTTCCCCCTTTGTACTTCCTATTTATATAATTATAAGCCTGCTTTAGCTTTTAATTTTGTCTGCTCATTTGTTTATAATTCATGTAGTTTGGTACATAGGTTTCCATTTTAGCATTTGCTAAGTTGTCTTAATCATCTGCCCTAGTAATATGGTATCCTCAAGCTAAATCCTAACCCTATTGGTCATGTGATTATTTTTTAAGGTGCGCTCTCTCTCTCTCTCGCTCTCTCTCTCTACATATATACAGTAAGCAAATATGCTTAATCAGAATAAAACCACAAAAATCAACTTTGATTTATAGAGATCATTCCATTTCTAGTCACTTTAATGTCCAAATAAGACAACACAAGTTTACAATAACAAAGATAAAATAATTAAGCAGGGCAGCAGAAATAAAAATTTAGGTTAATGAATTTTTATAAATGATCATTTGGAAACATATTATCTTGCTTCACCCCTAACTGTAGTCTCCAAATATTCAATAGTGTTGCCACCATTCATTGCTATGATAACATACCAAATATATTTATGTCCTTATGCCTGGTTAATACAGGTTTTTTTCTCTGCTTGAAATATCCATATGTTATTTTCTCTTTATTCATTTAGATTTAACTTACTCTTTTGGGTCCACAGAAAGGTTATACTGCCCCCCAGGGCAGAATAAATCACCATCTCCTTTTGCTTTACCACAGCATTTTGATTACAATTTCATTACAGCTTGCCATTTATTTTTTCTCTTATTATAATTATTTATTTTCCTATCCAAGTCCATTAGGCTACATGCTTTTTGAAGGTAAGTGCTGAACATGTGTTTTCTCTGGTACTTTCTCTTTCCCAAAATCAAACCCAGTACTGACAATGTCTTCTATTTTTGTCCATTAAGGTATATTGGTCTTTCATCTTCCTATTTTGACTCAAATATTTATAGTTTCCAAATGTACATGGTCTTTTAAATAATTATTTGTTTTACATATTGTATTTACATTTACACATAAATTGTCTACATGTAAAGGTCCCCTTGGAATAATAGCAGTAAAATTTAAAACTTGATTCCTAATTTGCTCAGTTGACTCACTTTGAACATAAACTATGCATTACCTGTCAGGATGAATTAAGTAATATTGTCGTTTTAAGAGAACTTCATAAAAATAGTAAGATAGGCATTCTTTTTAGGATTACTGCTAAATTATTCTATTCTTTAATGGATTATTTTAAACACAAAGTACTTAAATTATTTTTAGACAAATGACTCATTTGAAACCTAATCATTTTAAACACAACTAGGATTCCAGCAATATTTTCTATGTTGAATAAATGTCAGATCGCCTCATATATAAACAATATTAATTTTAAAAGTCTAAAATATGTTTAATATTGATAAGACAGCAACATATGGATTTTTAGAAATTGCTGCTTTAATATCTCTCCAGGGAGATTAACTTTTCTCAGAAAGAATTTTAATTTTAACACTGAAAATTAAAATTTTTGTTTTTAAATCTATAAATCATTCTCTAAAATTCTGTTACTTGCAATGGATACATTGCAAAGGTGCCATCAAATGCCTTATGAGTTATTTATTATAGTATCATTTAGTCAAATGTTGTCATGAAATATGTTGTAAAGAATAGTGTATACTGCTATACAAGTCCCTCACCATCCCTCATCCTAAGGGTAGGGATGGGGTGGCATCCCTACCCTTATGTGTCTAATCCAATGTCCTAATCTGGTTATCTTTCTCTACCATTATTATTCACTTAAAAAAACTACCCTGCCACCCCAAATTTAGTTATACTATTTCTACCTTCCTCTTCTAAGTATGTACTGGCAAATTTAACATTTAGAGATGTGCTATAGAACAAAACAAAGTTGGGAAAGATAAACCCATAAAACTAAAGGGTATGTTTTTGTATTGCAAAATAACATTTCAAAGAATGAGTCAACTAAAATGTTTAAGAAAAAATATTCAGTAGTTCAAAGGGAATCATTTTTAACTACTATAAATTAGACTGTAAAAGAAAAATACTGAATCTGATTCATAAAAAAGTTACAGTCAAGTGTATTATTTGATTAAGTCTTATTGACCTACAATATAAAAAATTCACTCAGTCCAGTAATATCAGGGCATTTTAAAGGCCCCGTTATCAGTTCAACATAATTTTGAAACTACAATTTGTTTTTGTTTTACAGCTAATGTTTCAATACTATTGTAACAATTTGAACAACAGAATCTATTTTAGACCTTCAAGGTCATTGACTTCTTAGTTAAAAACAAATTACAAACCAATTAAACACTAATTTTTCAATCTGTTTTCATCCAGCTAAATATGCAACTCAAAGCACTTCAACTATCAACCCTACTTGTGATGTACGTATACATTTCAAAGTAAAAAATCTTGAACTAACATCATTAACTGGAAAATTCTGTTCTATTTATTTATACTAACAACATTTTACTATTATTTCTTCAGACAAAATAAAGTTATCCCCATCAGATGTTTATCCATCTCATCTCTTGATTTTAATCCTTTCTCTCAGTTTTAGTCTCTTCCCTTATTTCCTTACAAATCCTGGACTCTGTGGTCACTGTTTATTTTCTAACCTTCAAATTGTCCTTTGCTTTCCATCCTTAAATCCCCAATTCTCCTTCAGTTCTTCAATCCATTCCTTCCCCCAAACAACCTAAGAACTGATGGAGAAAAATTATACAAGTTGTGTAGACTTGTTCAATAAAAATATAAAATTGGTAATTTCACCTCTGTCCCTCGACATATTTACCTATCATTAACTTACCTTCAGTTAGATCCTTTCCTAATCCCCTTCATAGGCTATCAAAAGCTTTTGCTACTTTCATCAACTGTCTACCCCACAGCCCGCTTAATTCTCAGTATATGTCCTGAGCTCATCCTTTATAGCCAGTTGAGATAATTATACAGATATGCCACTTCTTGCCTACCCTCAGATGTAACTTGTTACTATCTGAGGCCATATCCTTGCTTCCTTCTTTGCAATGTACAGAAGGAAATATCCCTCATTCTATCTAAAGCATTCTGTCCTGGATATTAATACCATATTGCGCAGAATTGGATGATACTGGTCTATCATTCATCCTTTCTGACATTTTTCTTCAATCTTTCCTGCTCCACTAGTTCCATCCCATTATCCCTGAAGTCTCTCCTAACTAAAAGAAAAAAAAAAAGTTCTTGACTCCGCACATCTTCTTCATGGAATTAATTTTTATCTCTAACATTAAATTTTTTCTCTTTTTTCAGCCTTCTTCTCCATACCTTCCTTATCAGCTTGCCCTTAAATAATGATTATCCTGGGTTCCAGTGTCCATTCTCTTCTCACTCTCTACCCTCTGAGTTTCTCACATATACAGGAACTCATATGTACCCCTGAGGGATTGGTTCCAGGACTCTGTTGGAAACCAAAATCCACGAATGCTCAAGTCCCTTACATAAAATGATGTACTTATACACATCATCCCACATCTTTTAAATTATCTCTAGATTACTTATAACACCTAATACAATGTAAATGCTATGCAAATAGTTGTTGTATTGCTTTTTGTGTTTTTTTTAAATTGTTTCTTTGTTATCTTTTATTTTTCCCAAATTATTTCTGACCCAAAGTTGGCTGAATCCATGGATCTGGAACCCATTAATATGGAGGGCTAACTGTATACCCAACTGCTTATGAGACCTCCACCTGAACATTTTTGAGACATCTCAAGTCAACTAATCATTTTTTTTTACAATTTTTCTAACCTTAGTACTTTTTTTTTTTTTTTTCCCTGAGACAGAGTCTTGCCCTGTCGCCTGGGTCAGAGTGCAGTGGCACGATCTCAGCTCACTGCAACTTCCACCTCCCAGGTTCAAATGATTCTCCTGCCTCAGCCTCCCAAGTAGCTGGGATTACAGGGGTGCCCCACCACCCTCAACTAGTTTTTGTATTTTTAGTAGAGACAAAGTTTCGCCATGTTGGCCAGGCTGGTCTCAAACTCCTGACCTAAGGTGATCCGCCTGCCTCGGCCTCCCAGTGTATTTTTTATCTCAGCTGGTAACACCAAAATTAATCAAAGTACTCAGTAACTAGAGTGTCATGCTAGAATCTTCTGTTTCTCTCACCATTGCTCTACAACCAATCAGAAATTCTTTCAATTTACTTCTTAAATTGCTTTATTTCACACCCTCATGACCACTGTTTAGTTCAGGCTTTCAACTCTCTTGGATTATTTTAGATAGCTCTCCCTCCCCTAAGTGATTTCCATAGTCTGGTCTCAATTTCTCAAATCCATTATCTATATAACTGCTATAATTAACTTACTAAAAATAAATCAGATCATAACTTCTACTTTCTTACTTCAAACACTTCATTACCTCTTTAGTCACTTTCTAAAGCCTTTTATGATATGACTCATGACTCTGCCTTCCTCCCTCCAACCCCTAAACAAAACCAATGTTTCAAACTCTCTTGAACACACGCCTGTGCAATTTAAGGTAATTGTTTGTACACTTTATTCTTCTGCCTAGAACAGCCTTCCCTTGATGTGCATACCAGATAACCTTAAAATGTAGCTCTGCTATCTCTTTCCTGAAACGTTTCTTTTTTGACTACTACTCCACAGTGATCCCCACAAGGCAGAGTTAATTGCGTCTTCCTCTGGCCTATCCCTGTACCTTATACTTGTTCCTAATACTCTATTACATTACATAGTTGACCCTGCTATAAAAAAACTCAGAATTTGTGTTTTTCATAATGGTATTCATGAATGATTCACGCAGAAATACACTATATTTGACACATTACTTTACCATAAAATAAAAGCATGTTGAAGGCAAGATTAGAAAACACTTTTACAAATTTTGAAAGAATAAATCAGGAATCCTTAATCAGAAATCCTTAATAAGAATACTATAACATTCAAAGAAAAAAAAATCACCTAAACAACTCACATAGAAAAAAAAAAAAGATACTCTAAAAATACACAGAGGTTAAGAGCACAGAATTTTTGTCAGAGTACACATATAATAATTAACACAATGCCTTGAAAACAACTGTATGTTTTTAAAGTTAACTGCTACTATAACTAACACTATTATTATTAAATTAAATAACCAGACATGGATGAATTAAAAATTGTTCTAGGTCATAAGTACTTTTGGTCTTGGTACTAAGAACTGTAGATTCCACCAAACTCCTTTATGTTTTTAAGGAAAAAAAATCACTTAAGAGTGATTTCTTATTATACTAGTAAATGTGATAAATAAATAAAATAAATAAAAAATTACTTCCTAAGTAATTTTAATGGTTCTTTCTCTAATGCAAATCCTTTCATCAACAAGAAATTCTACTGAAGAGATTTACCAACCTCTACTTGCTAAAAGTTTCCTTCTTACCACGTAGTAAAACAAATGCATCAAATGATTAACACAGCAAAATGCCAGGAAATTCTTTTCCTAAAAAGTTGTAAGTTCTAAAACAAGCTGTTTTTACCTTCAGGAGCATCTGCATCACATCTCTTTGGCACAGAAAGGGTTGAATTGCCTTTATGATTATCAGAAGTTATATTAGTCTGAAAGATAAAAATACAGTTAAAATATAAAAACCGCATTAATAAATACATTTGGATTTAAAAAGTAATCACTATGAACTGTATACTCTGTATACTAACTACATCTATCTAACATTCCAAAATGTAAATTTTGTGCAACATTGCTCTTAGAAGAAAAATAATTATGGTAAATTAAACATTAAGGCTTTTTGCAATAATCCTTTAGGTCCTGTGTTGAACAACATGGCTTCTTCCCAGAACAAACAAATTCCATTTTTAATACAAAGTATAGCATCTGAAAGGAATGCTATTTTCAGACTGTGGAACATGCAAAGAATATCTTTTGTCCAAGCAAAAGCATAATCTTCCTTCATTCCTTCACAGAAGGATGTTTAATAAGCATGACCTAGTGAGGTAGGTGAAGGGGATGAGGCAAGAAGAGAATAAAAAGGTATAAGAAGTGAGAAATATGGTTCAGGTGGTTTTCCAGGATGCTGTTTCCCAAACTCAGGTCATTCATGTACCTCCATCATGATCAGTGCTTTATCTGTTTCACCTACATTATAACTAAATATTTTTCAATGAAATAGCCTTTTAACACTCACCAATATTATGGATGGTACTGATTGAGGGTTGATAGGTTCGTTAGATTTTTCTTTCTAATTGCATGTTAAAGTAAAGAAAGAATGAAGGAAGAACAGGATAAAAAAGAAATGATCTGGGCACACTGATTTAATCATGAAAGACTCCACTAAAGCAATGCTTGATCAGGCCCTGAAACATAAATATGGTTTGAACAGTTAAGAAGTAGAGCAAAAGGTATTTTTAAAAACGGAAAAAAACTAAACAAAGTTTGAATCAGATATGGTCAGAATATTTTGAATCGTCAGAAAATCCAAACTTACTGTTCTATTAAAACTAAAAGCCACAGTTCGCTTTTGAGAGATCACCACCACCAATAAATCAGCATATGAGGATACCCATCATGTTAAAAGAATGTATAGTTATCTACATATAAAATTTTTATAAAGCCTCTTCTAGGGGATTCATAGTGCCAATGAACGGACATGCTGTGCTCACCAAAATGTTCTTTGGGAGCCATATTATTAAAATTCGTTAAAACGTTATTTTAGAGGAAGTATTTTGAGTTTTAATAAAGTACTAAGGTAAAGCTCAGTAGCTTAGCACCATGGGACCCATTTAAGAAACTACTGTAATGAAATTCTGTGTGCTGTTTCAAAAAAACAACAGTATGAAACAAATATAAATATGCTAAAAATAGAAATAAAAAACCAGTTTTAGCAATATTAAATATAATCTGATGAGCTAATATCTTATGCTAACCATCACAATTAAAATTTCATTTTAAATATCACTATCTTTAAAATATCAAAATAATCAAGTTTCAAATATTTCACTTACCTCTATTAAGTAATTTTGGCTTCCATACATAACATATTGGGGAGCAAGACTATAAATCATGTAGCTAGTGTGAAGGACAATAAGCAGAAGTATCATGCAGAGAAAAAGGAGTGCTTGGGGCCTGGTTCTACCTCTTCTGATTTTATATAACTGGAAAGAAAAGAGTGACAAAATTTCAGCAATATATTTCATTTATAAAGCATTAAATCCTTTTCTTGTGTTATGGGAAATGATTTACACAGTTCAATCAACCATTATTTTTCTTCCAAAGTAAATACTAAAAGTTCTTAATCATCCCAAATAATTTTAAGATTATTCACATGGTCTATTTCCAGAGAAATCTTCTAAACTTATTGTGTAACAGCATCTGTTAGAAGTTCATGGAGCTAACTGTGAACTACCTCTAGTTCTATCTAAAGATTAGAAGTATGAATTTAAACTACAAGTATCAGTAATATACTATGGTTTTATATAATTTTTTATAATACTGCATAAGAATAGACAATGTCATGTGTTTATAAACATCTATTTCTATGAAATACTCGTGACCTCCTTATACTTTGCTATAAAAATTAGTTTATGAAAAACTCTGATAATCTTACTAAAGAGCTTTTCACATTTATCTATACTAAAGGGAAATGAAAACACATGGTAACTGAAATATAAGGAACCAGGTAACTTGCTTCATTTCAATAGCATAGCAAATGCTTTTATTTTAGCAACTTAGGTATCACCTCCCTGTTTTATTACTAGATTGTAGTACACCACAATTGTACTATTGTAGTACAGACTCCAGTTCTAGATGGGATGACAATAAGATCATTCATAAATTTACATTTCCCAGGTTCTTTCACAGCCAGTAGTGGCCATGTGATAAAATATTAAACATGAAAAGGAAAGCAGAAGTCTGTTAGGGATTTCTGTAAAAGTCTTGTTTTATTGATATAATTGTTTACCCCTTTCTCCTAACTACCTTTTTCTTCACAGAATATGAACAGGATAAAAGGAACTGCAGCAGCCATACTACAATCATGACAGAGATACTCAAAGAATTACAGAGATATTGGATCTGACTTTTTGAGCTACTGAAGCAATACTAGATTCTTTTTTTCCATAGCAAGAAATCTTTTATTAGTTCAAGCCACTATTTAACTGAGTTCTCTTTTACCCACAGCTGGAAGTAGTGTCTACCTGATACAGCTTCATTTTAAAATTGTTAATTTATCTCAAAATAAGCATTTGAAGAAAATAACCAATGATATGGTAATCTTTACTAATAGGGAGGGCTATCTTTTGAGCTTCAGTGTATCTATTATATTCGAATGTGTTTCTACTAAGAAATAATATAACTTTTGGACCAGGGTTTCTCAACCATGGAACTATTGACATTTTAGGCTAGGTAAGTCTGCCCTATGCACTACAGGATTTTTAATAGAATCTCTGGCCCCTACCCACTACATGCCACTAGCATTCCCCAATTATAACAACTAAAAATATCTCTAGATATTGCCAAATGTTTCCGGGGGGCAAAATCACCCCCATTTAAGAACCACTGCTCTAGATAAAAAGTACTTTTATGTCAACATGAAGTGAAAAGGCTAGTATTTCTCTCACTTGTGGTATAAAGATACAGCTACTATATTCTAAATCTAAGATAATTTGTAATTATGGAGATCACACACAAAATGATGAGAAAAAAATAATACTGTAATATATACTTACTCTAATCCAAAAGAACCATATGCCAATATTTCGAATTCCTGCCATTGAAGTAAAAATAAAGTACATAATAATAATTGTTATAAGAATATAATCAAGAGGGAAAACCTGAAAAAAAAAGATGAAATTAAATTTAACATATAAACTATAAGCACTCTAACAGTCATATAAAATAAGCTAAAAACTTCATTATTCTCATCCGGCAAATGTTTACAGTATCAACCTTGATTTAGATTAGGCTACTGTGCTTAAAAAAAAATCCTCAAAAAACTAACAAGTACCAAACTATTACCAAAATTTTTAATACCATTATCTTAAGAAAAATACTAAAGCAAATTAAACTAAAATTGCATTTATCTATGAGATAAAAGACTTGATTAAATATTAATACCAAAAATAATTTGGAGAAGGTCACCTCATGTTATATAATATATCCCAAGTCAAATTATGTATAACATAAAAGTCCAGGAATATATCAATATGATATTTAAAGCAACATGTCAGTGTGTAAATTACAGGCAAATAAAAAGTAAAACTAGAAAATAATATAAGCATATGTCAAACTATTCATAGGTTTTTAGCATAATAATTTTATGTGCAACAGGATGTCAGAATGTTTGCTAGACTCTAGCATTTTATACTCTAGCAGCTACAGTATAAAATGATTGATATTTTACTTACTGTTTGTAGTAAAGGCAAAAGCATATTCAGTGGATTACTCAGGTTAGCTCCAAAAATTATGAAACCAGAATCTATTCCAGCTGAATGAAGAGCTTTATCTAAACTAAAAAAAATTACAAAGAATGAAATTTATGTTATACTATCAAATTTTCAGCAAATTTAGAAAAAATATAATTTAAGCATGCAAATACACCTGAGTCAAAGAAAACAATGGATAACAAATTAAACCTCACTTAAATATCTCACAGCTATTGTTCAATTGATGGAGAATAAAGAAACACTCTATTATTGGACGTTTTAGCCATTCTTTGAGTTAATGCTATAGAACACTTCAAGTAAAAAAGCTACTTAAGATGAACAGCCTACACTAATGGCATTCAGCAACAAAATGTATATTATCATAGAATTTGTATAAGTGCTTTAGAAAATGTGTCTACTGTACTTACTTTGACAAGAAGAGAGAAATTACAAACAGCAATGCAACTAAGATGAAAAATATTCCCCAGACGATCTAAAAGCAAAAATATATTCATTAAAATATAGTTCTAAAAGTTGATATTAAAAGCACAAAATCATTATATTCAATATGAGTTGCTAGAATATGACAATGATCTAACAAAAACAATCTAAGATACATTTTAACTTAGTATACAATTCCAGGCATTTATACCTGAATTTTCATTATGAGACTATTTGATTGAGAACATGTACATAAAAGAGACAAAGCATTTGAAAAGTCTTCACTAATAAGTAAACAAATGAAACTCTTTGTTAGACCAAATAC
The DNA here is from genome assembly GCF_000001405.40 of Homo sapiens. Classification (NCBI taxonomy): domain Eukaryota; kingdom Metazoa; phylum Chordata; class Mammalia; order Primates; family Hominidae; genus Homo; species Homo sapiens. Next base: position 69,702,227 of record NC_000006.12, read on the forward strand.
AAAGTCTTTATTCTATTACACTGAAATGAGACTGAAAAGTACATTATGACTAACACACAGACACACACACACACACACACCCCAAAACCATGAAATGCAGGTTATATTACCCTGTTAGTTAAAATAGAAAATTTAGAACATTTTCCCATAGAAGTAATAATATATATAAATGATATATATAGTGGTTAAATTATATTACAATCCATAAAAGCCTATACAAGTGATACTATTCCTGAAACAGAGTACTAACAACACTGAAAAAATTGTCAGGTAAAACAATGTTTCTGTGGAAAAAATGTCCTAAGCACTGTAAGTAGTGGAACATATTTCTCCCAATTGTATGAACTTTATATTAAAGATGGTAGAAAAAGAGGAAGAAAAATATTATAACTGAGTCTCTAATGAAAAGTTTCAGAATATAAAAGAGTTGAAATCTATGTTAGCAAAAACCTAAGCTCTTTTTCCCCGAAATCTTCCCCAAGTTGCGGGGACAACTGGGCTAAAGAGTTGTCAAGACCAGATCCAAAAAGAAGAGTCCCAGTAAGCACAGTTAAGTGTGTTGGGCTCCTCCTTTAACTGGAATTGATATAAATAGATCAATGAATGTTATGAAATCATGAATGGTAGGGAGATTTTTTCATCTTATTTCACAGGACTGTGGAAGTAAATTTTAGAATCCTGAGAGAATAAAAGAAGTAACACATGAAACTACCTAGCCTGAAAAGATGATTTTTGGAAGTAATTTTGGACCTGTGCTCTGGGGAATTCTTCAGTTATGGCTGGGTGCCTTTGGGGCTCACTGGGAAGGAGAGAGTTGACGAGAGGGGTCCAAGAAGGCTATAGTCATCTCTTGAAAAGAGAGTGATATTGCATGTACTATTTTTCATGCTAGGATTCCGCAAGAGAATTCATTATTTAAAAAGGGTTTCATTGCAAAAGATTTTGAAGTGACTCCTTTATAGTAACAACTGCTCATTAGTAGAGGGTATAAAGGAGTTATACTTTTTTTTCTACTGGATTCAGGCATCTATATTTGGTACTGTGGTGAACTGAAAAGCAACACAGACTTATACTTAGGATTCTCAAGTGAAAAACATTCCTTCCTAATAGCTGTTAACAAAAAATAGTTTGTAGCAGTATAACTATGAAATGCCAATTAGTAGTAGGAGAACATGATATAGAAACAGCATTTGAAGTTAAGATTCCCTCTCTTTGGTATCCATTTTGGCAAAAAAAAAAAAAAATTTAAAATTAAAAAAAAAACCCTCTTAGCTATCTTCCAAATCTGTAGAGATGACTGACCCAGAGTTAGACTGCTTAATCAGTGACTTAACAGAACACAGAACAAATGTAAAAAATACAAATATTTTATAAAGACCAAGAAAACTATACATACTTAAATACTAGAACTTAAATTAGTAGTTACAAAATCATGTCAGTGATGACCACATTGGGTTGACCTAAAAGCTACATATTATACTCTAGCTATAATGCCAATTTTGAAATAAAAATTAAACTATAGAGGTAACATCAATAAAAATGGAATAAGACATATGCAAAAACAATACAAAGAATTCCACTATACACTTCACTCATATTCTCCAAATTTTAACATGTTACCTTATCATTCTCTTTTGAACAAGTCTTAATTATTATATATCAATTTCTCTTGAACGAGGTCTTTCATAACCTTGACATTTTGTAGAGTCCAGGGAAGTTAATTTGTAGAATGTCTCTCAATTTGGATTGCCTATTTTCTCATGATTATATTTAGATTATGCTTTTTTCCAGAAATGACACAGACAGAGAAGTGTTGAGTCCTTCTCAATACATCATATCAAGTGGCACAGTCATGTCTATTTGCCCCATTACTGATGAGCTTAACTTAAATCATGTAGTAAGGTGGTTTCAGTCAGGTTTCTCCATTGTACAATTATTATTTCCCCCTCTGTAATTAATATGTTTTGTGGTGAGATACTTTCAGAATATGCAAAATCTTGTTCTCACCAAACTTTTAATTTCAAGTTTTGTATCCACTGATGCCTCTTCCCAGAAACAATACGTTTTTTTCTGTGGTATTTGTCAAATGCTGGTTTTCTAATTGCTTCTATATTTATTTGTTGGAATTCTACTGTAGGGAAGAGGTTTCCCTTCCCCATCATTTACTAATGTATTTACTTATGTCAATATAGACTTATATTTTATTCAATTAGTTATCATCTGTTATTATCATTATTTTGATACCTAAATGGTCCCAGATTTAGGCAATAGGAGCCCCTACAAACTGGTTCCTTTTATTATACGCCCACTATTCTCTTAAACACTTCTTACTTTCTGGCATCAGATGTTCCAAGCTTATTAAGTGCTTTCCCAGCCACAGTCCTAGAATCAGACATTTCTCCAAGCAGCCCTGGTTCCTTTTAATGAAGTTAGGTAGTGGTCTGTCTATTAATTAAAACATATGCATATGCAGAAATCATTACTTTATTAGTACTAAATTAGGACTCTATTTTCAATCCATGGGTGGTTGAATCTGCAAATGCAGAATCTGCAGATATAGAGGGACTGTTGTAATTCATCTGTTTTTCTTCTCCCTACCTCACTGCTTTCTGCTTTTATCTTATTTTCTTCTGTGTGATTCCTTTTGTTCTTCTGCTAGCTTTTTTGGGATTGGACATTTGTTTTTTTTTTTTCCACTTTTACTGGTAAGTGTGTTTCAGGCTATTAATTTCTCTTTTTTTTAAATTTATTAAAATACTGAGTTTTATTTCACATGCATATTTTTGTCTCCCCACCATTTCCATGTCTGACCACCACTACTACTATGTCCTATCATAACATTCCATACATACTTAAGACCAAGCAAAGGGTGGAGTTCCGTCTTTAAAAACTAAACAGGCATTTTGGACAACACATTATTGGCAATGGAGCCTGGACAACATTTATCAAACATGGTAGGGAAAGTTCCCACTCTGCATTATAAAAAGGACAGCCAGATATCAACTGCTACAGAAATGAAGTAAGACAGAAAAATTTTAACAAATTGTTTAAACTATTTTCTTAAAGAGACTTCCTCAACTGCCAGAGATCTTGAATAGCCTCCTGGTCAGTCATCCGGAAGCAATTCTTCATATAATTGATGAACTTGGCTTCCACTTTGGGAAGAGAACCACCTTTTTCTATACTTGCTTGCATTTTTGCTTTAATGTCTTCTACAGAACTAGGTCCTTTTGGTGTTTTAGGAGATTTTTCCTGTTTTTTGAAGGATTCTTACCCGTTTGATCTTGGTATTGATGATGGTTTTGAGTCTTTTCCATTCTGATTTGGCTTTTGTGCATTTTTGGCTGGAGTATCTCATATAGATTTCTTCACTGGTGATTTTTCTTCAGTTTCCTTATTATCAAAATCATCATTATCACCATCTTCATCATTATCATCATCATCATCATCTTCATCAGTAGCAAGTTTTACTTTTTTCTGTGGAACCTTGCTACCACCTCCAGGGACAGACCACTTTCCAGATATACTTAAGAGTTTCACATCCTCCTCCTCTTCATCTACTGACTGCATCTTCCTCCACTGCTACTAAATGTTGTTCACTAATATGCACTGGCCCTGAACCACACTTCAACCGTAAGACCACTGGTGGTGTTATTTCAAAGCCCCTAAGGAAAATTGTTGGCTGTACAGACATTTTCAAAGTTGCCAGTGTTACTTTAATTGGACTGCCTTTGTAATACACTGCCTCTGCTTCAACGATGTGTAATTCATCTTTTCCATCAGCCCCTAAACTGACCGTTCTTAAAGATAACTAGTGCTCATTTTCATCATTATCCACCTTAAAGTGATAATCTTTGTCAGCCTGTAGTTCACAACCAAATAGATAGTTCCAGGGCCTCCGGGGGTTTATGTCCATGTCCATCAAATCTTCCATCAGGTGGCAGCACACACTTAGGTGGGAGAGAAGGCAGATGGAGATAAACAACCACAGCTCAAGAGAACAGCCGCACAGGACAGAATCACATCAGGGACTGATCTCTATTTTAAAGGTATCCCACAGACTCTAATATGTTTCAATTATCATTAACTTTTAGAAATTCTGTAATTTATTTCCCCTTTCTTTTCACTCAAAAGTTGCTGAATATAAGGTTAATTTTCAAGTGAAAAGTATGTTAATCTATTGATTTTGTTACAATTTCTAGTTTTAACGCACTGCAATCAGAGAAAAATTGTTTGTAATATATCTACTGTTTGAAACTTCCTGATACTTTCTTCAGGATACAATTAATAATACGATCAACTTTTGTGTTCCCTGTACATTTGGAGAAAAGGTTATTTTCTATTATCTAGATGTAAAGTTTAAAAGTTGTAAGTTATACCTTACTGATTATTAGGTCTTCTATATTCTTACTCTATTTCATCCACTTGAAATGTTTTACCCTGAGAATGCTGTTATTCTCCTATTACTATTATATTTCAATCTCTACCTTCTGGAATCTCCCATAGTTTTTGCTTTCATAAAGGTGGCTGCTGTGCTAACTGGTACATAGATAACCACAGTTATTATATCTTCATTCTAAATTGTGGCTTTTCATATTTAAAAGTGTGTAAATTTTCTACTGCTGCCAATGACACACCACCACAAACTTAGTGGCCTGAAACAGCATCTACTTATTATCTCAGTTTCTGTGGGTCAGCTGTCTGTGCACAGTGCAGCTCAGTGGATTCTCTGCTCGAGGTCTCACAGGCCCAAAACCAAGAGTAGGGCTATGTTCCCTTCTGGAGACTCTGGGAAAGAAATACTTTCATGCTCTTTCAGATTGTTGGCTGGCATTCAGTTCCTTAAGGTTGTAGAGTTGGAGTTTTCCTTTCTTTGTTAGCTATCATTTGGGAACATCTCTCCGTTTCTTAAGGCTGCTTGCATTCCTTGTCACATTTCCCCCTCCATCTTCAAACCAGTCATGGCAAGTCAGGTCATTCTCGCACTTTGAATATCTTTGATGTACCCTTTATCACTTCTCTCTGACTCTAATCCAGAAAGTTCTCTGCTTTTAAAGGTTCATGTTATTAGACTGAGCCCACCTGAATAACCCAGGATAATCTTTATATCTTAAGGTTTATAACCTTAATTACATCTGTAAGGTTCCTTTGCCACTTAATGTCACAGGTTTCCTGGATGAGGGCATCATTAGGTGAAGAAAAAGGCACTGTATCTACCATAAAATGTGTCCTTCTTTGTTACAATTGGTGTATTTTGGCTTGAATTCTATTTTGTCTAATAGGATCATTGTTTCCTTATTGTTTCCATTTGTCTAGTATGTCTTTAAACACCGTTTATTTTTAGTCCTTTTGAACTACTGTTTTAGGTGTGTCTCTTTTAAATAGCATACATTGGATCTATCTTCTTTCTGAAGAAAATACAAATTTTCTTCTAATGGTGAGTTAGGTGTATTCACATTTGTTGATATTATGGACATATTTAGTCTCAATAATATCTTACTGTTAGATAATTTTGTGTATGTTATATTTCCTGTGTTCTTTACTCCAGGTACCTAGAATAGGCAAACTGATGGAGAGCAAAAGAGAAATCACTAGGGAATGGAGAATTACCGTTTAATAAATACATTGTTTCCATTTGAAAAAGATCAGAAAATGAATAGTGATGATGGTTGCACAACATTGTGAATGTACTTACTGCTATTGAATATACACCTAAAAATATTCCAAATCATAGACTGAGGCATATATATTTTACCACAATAAAAAAATCTAAAAAATATATGCAATATAATTACAAACATAAATTTATAATTTTGTGTATAAGCATAAGAAGTATATATAGTAAAATCTCAAGTTACATTTAAAACCTAATGATCTAGAAGTTACCCAGGCCAATTAGCTGTATAAGCTCAAAGTATACTCTTCTGTCAGGGAAGAGTTTATTCAAGTATTTAATGAACATCAGACTGTAGGCTTAGAAATGTGTTCAATATTATATATAAAGGCTGTTTTAAAGAGCTATTAACTTATTCTAATTAGGTGCTTATTTTTATAATTGTCTTCAGCACAAAACTAATCTCCCTTCATTTCCATGGTAGGATTTAAGAACTTCAAAAATCCTACATATAGAACTATAACAGCAGCAGCTGCAATTTTCTGAGCTGTTTACATCAAAAGGAACTGCACTGCATACATTATTTCATTTAATTCCCACAACAAAATAAAGTAAGTATATAATTCCATTTTAAGAATGAGAAAAGTGAGGTTCAAAAAGCTTAAGTAAGAAGTTACAGAGTTGGTGAGGAGCAGAGCAAGGACTCAAACCCAGGATTAGGTGACCACAAAGCCTATGCTTCTGAAATAAGTTATGTATATGCTAGGGAAATGCATGGCAATCACAAGATCAACAGGCATCTTCATGGGAACAAAAAAAAAAATCCTCTACTAATTTTAAAAATTGTAACTTTTTTTACATTTGCAAAAATTTAAATTTAATTCATTTCATAATAAGACAAACATGAATTATAGTAGAGAATAAAAGGTAACACTGGCACAAAATTTTGAGATAGAACATAACTTCTAAGAAATTTAATGTCAGGAACTTCTCAAAGGTCTTAAATTACCTTCAGTATACACAGAGAGAGCTGTATAGAAGGGCAAGTGGACCTAGATCCACTTTCTTCCTCTAGTTTGACTTGAATGTTAATGTTTAAGAAACACTAAATGAGCTGGGCGTAGTGGCTCAAGCCTGTAATCCCAGCACTTTGGGAGGCTGAGGCAGGCAGATCGCCTGAGGTCAGGAGTTCCAGACCAGCCTGACCAACATGGAGAAACCCCGTCTCTACTAAAAATACAAAATTAGCCAGGCGTGGTGGCACATGTCTGTAATCCCAGCTACTTAGGAGGCTGAGGCAGGAGAATCGCTTGAACCTGGGAGGCGGAGCTTGCGGTGAGCCGAGATTGCGCCATTGGACTCCAGCCTGGGCAACAAGAGCAAAACTCCATCTCAAAAAAAAAAAAAGAAAAGAAACATTAATTGAAAATTTGGCTTCCTATTTCTGAATTACACCAATTGTAGACAAACACAGAGATAAATGAACAGCAACCTTCATATCTCATTTAAGGAAAAAAAGCAGTGTTTATCTCCTCATAATACACATTAAACCCTCAATTACATAACGATCAGTTTGTACCCCTAGAGATTCCTTCAGGCATGCCTATTACCCTATTCCTAACTTAGGATCAGACATGGAAAGATGGGTAAAAATTTAGATCAATATTCAGAAATGACACATTTACTAACAAAAAGAATAACTGTACTGGAGGTTTCAGCCAGTGAAATTAGAAAAGTAAAAAATAAAAGCAATTACAAATCTTATAAGGAAGAAGTAAAACTGTCTTTTAGCAGCTGATATGATCATGTATAAAAGAAAACCTCCTAAGGAAGCTACAATGAAGGTACTAGAACTAATAATTTAACCAGGTTGCAGGATATAAGAGTAAGATACAAAGACAAATTTCTACATACTAACAACAAATATTAAAAACTGAAATTAAACAACATAATTTGCAAGACTATAAAAAATACTTAGAGGTAAATTTATCAAGATATTTTTAAGACCTCTACTTTGAACACTACAAAACATTCCTGAGAGAAATTTAAGATGTAAATAAATAGATATCATGTTCATGGATAGAATATATCAATTCTCCCCCAAATTTATCTATAAGAGTGAAAGTAATCCCAATAGATATCCTAGTGGATGTTTTGTGGAATTATAAATTGATTCTTAAATTTATATGAAAATGCAAAGGATTTGGCAAAGCCAAAATGATTTTGAAAAAGGAAAATAAAACTGAATAATTTATACTACCTAACTTCATGGCAGATTATAAAGCTCTATTAACCAAGTATTAGCATAAAGACATATATAGATCAATGAGTAGAATGGAGATTCCAGAAATAGACCCACACTTACACTACAATCAATTTATTTGACAAAACTTCCAAGGAAAGCCAATGAGCAAAGGATAGTCTTGAAAAAAAAATTATGCTGGAACAATTGGATATCCACATAGAAAATAAAATGAACCTTAACCCTTAAGTCATACCATAGCACAAAAGTAACTTAAATGGGGTCATGATCCCAAGCATAAGATGTAAATCTACAAAATTTCTAGAAGAAAATGTTTCTTACCTTAGGATAGACAAACATTTCTGAGGACACAAAAATATGAACCAAAAATAGACATATAAATTAATATTCATCAAAATTTAAGAAACATCTGAATTACAGTTAAGAAACCAAAAACATAAAGAAAACTTGCCACGAACTAGGAGACGATACAATACATATATGTGACAAAGTGCTAGATCCAGACTATATAATGAACGCTTGTATCTCACTCATAATAGAAAACCCTAATTTAGAAAATGGCCAAGAGATTTAAACACACATTTTACAGAAAATAGCCAATAAGCATACAAAAAGATGCTAAATATCATTTAGTCACCAATGAAATGCAAAGCAAAACTGTGAGATGCTACTGCATATTCATAAGAATAACTCTTACAGACACTACATAAGAGTTGACAAGAATGTGAAACAATGGGCAATCTCTTATTGCTGTGGGAATGCAAAACGGTTGTAACCCTTTTGGAAAACAACTTCGGCAGTTTCTTATAAACATATTAAACGTTAGATCCAAAAATTCTACTCAAGTATTTATCCAAAAGAAATGAATGAAAGCACATCTACACAAAGGTTTGTACAAAAGTGTTCATATTAGCATTATTCATTATAGTCTCAAACCAGAAACAACCCAAATTTCCACCAACAAGGGTGAGTGAATAAACAAATTGTGATACAGACACACACTGTAATACCACCGAACAATAAAACTGAATAAACCACTGGGCAAAAAAATAGTATTAAATAATAACATGAGCAAATCTCAAAAACTGTGCCATGCCAAAGAAGCCATCAGACAAAAGATTGTACACTCTATGATTCCATTTATTTAAAATTCCAGAACACATAAAACTGACCTCTAATGATAGAAAGGACATCAATAATTACCTAAAGTCTGAGCTCAGGGGAGCAAGAGAGGGCATGAGGTAGATTTTTCGAGTGATGTGGATGCCCTATCTATCTATATTGGGCAAAACCAGTCTGTACACTTAGTAAAGTTGATTTGAAAATCCTTCTAAACATATGTTTGGTGAAATGGAACATAGCATATATAAAAGAAGGCAGCTGATGTTAGAGACCAGATTATAAATATTTATAAAAACCTAAAAACAATTTAGGATTAAAATAAAGCTGGAGAGAGTTTCATCATACTTTCAGTGCTATGAAGACAAATCACCTTGGGGTAAAAAAAACTGGGATGAATTTTTTAAAAATTTATTCTAACAGAAGATTTAAAAAGTGATTATATAGAAAAATTAACTGATTATGGTATATTTTTAAAAATCTCTTTCAAACCAGGCGCTTTTTAGGGTGAGCAGTTAGTGCATTTCTTTCTAATTATAAAAGGTGGAGAAAGCAGCACCCAAATTGAACCTGACTGACTCATCTTTGAATGGTTCTTTGAACCATTTCTTTTTCTTTTTTTTAACATTTAAGTTCACGGGTACAAATGCAGGTTTGCTACATAGGTAAACTTGCGTCATGGGGGTTGTTGTACAGATTATTTCATCACCCAGGTACTAAGCAAGGAACCCATTAGTTATTCTACCCGATCCTCTCCTTCCTCCCACCCTCCACCCTCTGAAAGGCCCCAGAGTGTGTTGTTCCCCTCTGTCTGTCCATGTTGAACCACTTCTTTTAAAATTTAGCACAAACCCACTTTCCAGCTTCATTCTGCCTAACTTCAAGTTAGTCCACTGACTGAATTTTCTGAATTACAACTTGTGTGCTATTGTATACAAAGGTCTGGTGTTTGAAATGCTTCCAGATATACAATGAGCATATTTGGAAGTCTGTGGCCAACAGTTTTTGTTACTTTTTAGTCTCAGCCATATTAAAGTGATCTTAATTCATTCTAGGTAATTAGGTTTAAGTACCATAGTCCCAAGAATTCAAGGCTGGCAAACAATGGTTTCCAAAAAAAGAAAATAATAATTTTCCATGTCAAATAATATCTTTAACATACTTTCAGAAACATAATCTAACAATGAGGCAAATTCTATTACTGTCAGAGTTCCTATGTTTTTTTTTTTTAAAGTCATTTTGTTTCTCACAGTTTTAACAACCCATACAAATAGATAAATTCATAAAGAAAATGTCACACATACATAATTGGAACATTATTCAGCCTTTTAAAAAATAAGAGAATCCTCTTATTTGTGACAACATGGATGTGCCTGAAAGACATTATGCTAAGTGAAATAAGTCAGGCACAGAAAGACACTGCACAATTCTTATGTGAGACACCTGAAATAGGAAAAAGTATAGATATAGAAATTAGAATAGTAGTTACCAGGGAATGCAGAAAAGAGAGAAAAAGAGTTGTCATCTAAGGGGAGGCAGTTACACAAGATGAATAAGTTCCAGAGGTCTGCCATGAGAGGGCCTACAGTCAACAATAATATGTGGTACATATAAAATCTTAGAAAGAATGGATCTCATTTTAAATGTTAACAAATCAACAACAGCAACAAAGGAAAACATAGAAAGTTTTGGAGGTGATGGATATGCCCATTACCCAGAATGTGGTGATAGCAACATAAATGAATATGTATATTTAAACTCACCAAATTGCATTAATTAACTATGTGCAGTTTTAAAAGAAACAATTGCATCTCCATAAAAGTGGGAGGAAACACCAGTATGGTAAAGCATGAAAACAAAAATGTACACCAATAGAAAAGAATAGAGAGCCTAGAAATAAATCCACAAACCTAGTCAATTTATTTTTGATAAGCGTACCATGAATACATACTAAGGAAAGGATAGTCAATCCAACATAGTGCTGGAAAAAATGAACACGCCAACAGAATGAAACTAGGCCCTTATTTTACACCATACACAAAAACCAAATCAAAATAGACTAAACACTTAACATAAGACCTGAATCTGTAAATCTACTAGGAGAAAGCATAGGCTCCTAAGCTCTAAGTCCCAGATCAATTTATAGGAAAGTATAAACTTGAAGAATATGCTAGCAGCATATTGCAATACTTATCTATATTTTTATTTTAATTTCCCAACAATTGTTGTAATACATTGCTCAGAAAGGTTATGCACCTTACCCAAACTACCAAAGAGAGCTGTGATTTAAAACCAGATTAAACCCCCAAATCCATTTTAAGTACCATGCTGTAATGCCTCAAAAGGAGAGCTCAATCTCTCCAAGAGGTACTACATAAACTTGGGGAAGAGTGACAGCATAATTTTTAAAAACTTCATTTACCTTCAGGGGACGCAGAGCGCCACAAAATTTTGTCCACCAGCTGTTTTCAATGAATTCTAAATGCCTCTCTCTCTTCTTAAGTGTTCGTAACCTTTCTTCAAATTGTTTTAAGGCGCGTTTATCCCTTGCTGGCAAAGGTCGACCATCTTTGCTCTGCAAATAACAGAACAAAATAAAAGTTTTACCATTAACATCTTAATAAAGTACCCAGCAGATTTAGCAGATCAGGCAACAAAACCTTTTCAGGATGGACACTCTTTAGGCAAATTTACAAACTAAAAAAAACCTGACAACTGCAATATGACAATAAACATAGGATAACCAAGGTCAGCATAAAAATGTGGATGTGTGTACATTTATGCCTACCTTCCTCTTGATCCCAATACATGGTAGAGTTATGTGGAGAGAGATAACCATTTGTAAAAACATTCCACAAAAAGTATGTTTGATAAGAAGTGTTAACTACTATGTACTTTGCTCAATGATTCTCCCTCCTCTCCAAACTCACTGTATCACTTATTTCAATATATTTGGCTCTGCCCCTTCCCTCTCTTTAGTCAAGTGGTTATGTTACCTGAACTGATGCTTCTCAGCCCAATTCAAATGCTAGCAGAATGAAGCAACACAAGCACAGATGGCATACAGAGGTTTTTGTAACAATTGCTAAGAACTGATACTTCCTTGTTTTCCAAGTACTTTGGCAAATGAGTCAAGCTTTCTTTGGCCAACCTATCTGACAGATAATTTCCATCTATTTTTACGCGACACTTTCTGTAACCATGAGCAGTACCTTTCTCATCATATCTCATAGATACACTTTCCCACTGAACTCTCCTGCTCCTATCTTCAATTGGGTACAAAAATAAAACAACTACTAAATACAGAAAAGGTAAAATATAAAATTGTTTTTATCAGCAGGAACAAGAAAAATATTTGTATAGGATTACATTTTTAAAGTGTAGATATATTAGGTATCAGAATGTCTTTAATATTCCTATTAAGGTTTAAATAGGTTCCTAGCAGATACACAACATATTGCTCTTCCCATGTATCCTAGTGCAGCCTCAATTTGAAATCATAACTATAATGCAGAGAAAACCTATGTAACCTTTAATAAAGAGATTTACACAGTTACAACAATCTCTTTACATATCGGCATCACTATGATCTTCTGGAACCAATCATCCTCTCCCACGACTTATCTTGTTGCTTGTCAAACTTCATGCATAAGAATCACTTGGAAAGTTTGTTAAATACATATATCTAGGCCCTATCCCCAGAGGATATGATTTTGTAGGTCTTGGGTGGAGCCTAGAATTTGAATTTCTACCAAATTTCCAGGAGATGCAGATGCTACTAGTCCAGAGACCACACATTACATACTACAGACTATATTCCATTCCTCTAAGTACATTGGGTATTATCACTGGATCCCAGAAAACGAAAACTAAGAGGGATTTTCTGAAGATCAGAGTAATAAAATGAACACTCCCTTCTGGAAGATAAATCCAGGTAACAATACTTCAAGTGTGTGGTATGAGAAGGATTCGGCACTTTATATCTTAACCATAACAATTTCCCCTAAAATTTCCATTATCGTATCAAAAGGATACTACAAATGAGGTAATTTTGTCTCAATGCTGGCGTTCACTATTTTAGAAAAAAAAATAGTAAACTGATTAAAGGATCCACTTGAAACAAACCCAAGTTATCTGCCTACTTGGTGAATGCTTCAGTGGAATGAGGGATGAATTTCCATTCTGCATTGCCAATTGACTAAACGAATATAAGAATAATTTTGATCAGAGAAACAAATACTAAGATGTAAACTCAGCAGTGAACATCTACCTCATTTGAAAGAAAAAATGTAGTTATACAGGTTAAAATGTAGTTAAAGGGAATAACAAACCCCTGGTTAAGAAAAAAAGTAAAACATGAAAGCTTCCCTTCACACTGTCTGTCTCCAATTACCATATTACCATTCCCCTTTCCTATGGTTTTTACTGTTAAGCAGTTAAATATCCTTCAACAAATTTTCTATTTACACACACACACACACGTACACATATACAAATGTATTTACGATGTCTTATTATATGTGTAATTTTTCCTGATCTTCTCCCTCCTTCCACCCTCTGCCCTCCAGTGGGCCCTAGTATGCACTGTTCCCCTCTATGTGTCCATGTGTTCTCATCACTTAGCTTCCATTTGTGAGAACATGCAGTATTAGATTTTCTGTTCATGTGTTAGTTTGCTAAGGATAATGGCCTCCAGCTCCCTCCATGTCCCTGCAAGGGACATGATCTCATTTTTTATGGCTACATACTATTCCATGGTGTATATGTAACACATTTTCTTTATGCAGTCTACCATTGATGAGCATTTAGGTTGATTCCATGTCTTTGCTATTGTGAATAGTGCTGCAGTGAACATTTGTGTGCATGTGTCTTTATCGCAGAATGCTTTATATTCCTCTGGGTATATACCCTCTAATAGGATTGCTGGGGTTGGATGGTAGTCCTACTTTTAGTTCTTTGTGGAATCACCATACTACTTTCCACAATGGTTGAACTAATTTGCACTTCTACCAACAGTGTTTAAGCCTTCTCTTTTCTCAGCAACCTTGCTGGCATCTGTTATTTTTTGACTTTTTAATAACAGCCATTCTGACTGGTATGAGATGGTATCTCATTGTGGTTTTTATTTGCATTTCTCTAATGGTCAGTGATGTTGAGCTTTTTTCATATGATTTTTTGGCCACATGTATGTCTCCTTTTGAGAAGTGTCTTGAGCACCTTTCTTGTGCATAAAACTGGTCTTCTCTTTTTATATTTATTTTTCATAAATCTTCTGAATAACTCTTTGAGGCTGATAATAGTATTATATTCATTTATTAAATGAGAAAAAAAGGCCTACAGATGTTATGTGCACAATCAGTAGAGCTAGATTTTGAACTGAGATAGTCTGATTTTACATGACATAATTCTTCAAGCTACATATAGATTTATAAATATATCTCATTCCTTTTCATCATTGCACATTACAAGATGGTATCTAGATTTAACAACTTATTTTGAACATGCAGATTATTTCTTTTTTAAATTTTTGTTGAGGGCCATTAACAATGTGCCATAAACATTCTTACATACCTGGGTACAAACATATACATACAATTCAGCAGGATAATTTCCTAGAGGTAAACTGTTAGATTAAACTTTAATTATTAAATAAATATTTAATTATTAATTAATTTTAAATATTAAAATACATATGTATTTATATGTACAGGCACATGTCACAACATTCAATTTTCTTTAAAAAGTTGTATATTTTATATACTCACAAACAGTCTATCTAATCCCCAAATTCTGATAAAAATTTGACACAGATGAAAATTTAAAAGAGGTCCAAAGAATTTTTAAAAAATATATTGAGTTGTTCTCGACATATATTATTATTTTACAGTTTGTGGCTATTGTGAATGGGATTATTTTGTATTACATCTTCCAACTAATTAATGATTTTTATGTTTACATCTAGGCACTGTGATAAACTCTTATTAGTTCTACTAGTTTGTCAGTTGATTATTTTAGATTATCATGGTAGATGATATTTGCCAACAAAAAAGTTATTTTCCTTTTTCCCCCTCCTCTCCATGCTTATATGTAAATTCTAAATTATTTCTTATCTGACTCACATTGCCAGATATATGCTAAAAGTAACAAGGATACTAACATTACTCCTATATTTGACGTTAATGGGAATGTTTCTATTCTTTCACTATTAAGTATTATGCTCATTAGAGGCTTCCTTTCCATATTTTCTTATCTTTATTTTGAAAAGACTTTTTAAAAAAATGTAACTACAAATTAACTTTTAGCAAATACTCTGACATCTACTAAGATGTTTATATTTCACATTTAATCTCAATATATTAAACTACTTTAATGTATTTTCTGATGTATCATGTTTGCATTTCTGAGATAAACCTAATCTGATGATTATGAAATATTCTCTTATTATAGCACAGGTTTTGAATTGCTACTTTTTGTTTGTTTGTTTGTTTTTAAACAGGGTCTTGCTCCATCATCCAGATAGGCTGGAGTGCAGCGGCACGATCATGGATCACTGCAGCCGCAACTTCCTGGGCTCAAGTGATCGTCCCAACTCAGTCTCCCAAGTAGTTGGGACTATAGGCATGCCAGTACACCTAGCTAAGTTTTTGTATTTTTTTTGTAGAGATGGGGTTTTGCCATATTGCCCAAGCTGGTACCAAAATCCTAAGCTCAAGCAATCTGGGACTACAGGTGTGAGCCACCAGTACGTACCTAGCCACTTATATTTTATTTGTATTAAAATATTTGCTTCTACTTTCATAAGAAAGCCGGTATATGGTTTTCTTTTTTGTGTGCTGTTATTGTCTGGTTTATTTATCAGAATCATACTAGCTTAGGAGAAAAATTTAGAGGACTTGCTATTTTTTTACCATGATCTTTGAGTAAGATTTATCTGTTACTTGAAGACGACAGAGGAAGAAAAACTTTTTACAGTATTTTTAGAAGTACATTTAATTGGCAAGGGGTTACATGTAATCTTTAGCTTATTCAACTAGTAAATAAAACTTGAACATAAATATTATAGTAAAATATAATATTATAAACGACGATACCTGAGAACTAGTAAGTTCTTGATCATACATAAGAAAAACTTCTGTTTTTTAAGTGTTAGAACAATGATAGAAATTCTCAAATTGCTAGTGTCCTACATTACACAGAAGACAAATTTTTAAAAATATAGACATGGTTTTGTAAGGGTACTGTATTAGTCCATTCTTATGCTGCTATAAAGAACTACTCGAGACTGGGTACTTTATAAAGGAAAGAGGTTTGATTGACTCACAGTTCCGCAGGGCTGCGAGGCCTCAGGAAACTTACAATCATAGCAGAAGGGTAAGCAAACACGTCCTTCTTCATGTGGCGGCAGGAAGGAGAAGTGCCAAAGGGGGAAAGCCTCCTTATAAAGCCATCAAACCTCATGAGAACTCACTCACTATCATGAGAACACCATGAGGGTAACTGCCCCCATGACTCAATTACCTCCCACTGGGTCCCTCCCACAACACGGGGGATTATTGGAACTACAATTCAAGATAAGATTTAAGTGAGGACACAGTCAAACTGTACCAGATATGCTGCAAAAAATTCAAACAATGTAAAAAGTTATGGGGTTGACAATGTCTAAGTCATATCAGAAAGCAGCTCTAAGACAAAGTAGTTTTATGCTTCCCAATTACACCAAAACATCAACTCACTTTTGATTTAATCGTTTGAATGTGTTGTTCTACTTCTTCAATGTCTTCAGTGTTTTCCAAACGTTCATAAGCAGCGCTTCTAGTGCCTTTTATCAGATTTAAAGGTAACGCAGACATGCCATAGGCCTAAAAGAAAAACAATTGAAATGTTTTAGAAATAATGTTTCAAACATATTATACACAATTTTAGGTTAAAAATGTCTTTTAAAGTCATAAGAGTCAGCAGTTGTGAAAGAGTACAGTCACTGAAAACATGGTATATGGGAGTGAACATTATATTGTCTCATAATTCTCCCGTTTATTTTGCATTAAACAGAGTCAAATTTATAATACTATTCCTCAAAGGTTAAGTTGCAAATTTACTGTAAATTTACTGTACAATACTTTATATCAAAGTAATAATTACAAATTCAGACTAATCGAAGGTTAAGATACTATAAATTAGTAAAAAAATTTAAAAAAATGATTTTCTATAAAAAACAATTTTCTCCAAGTATATATAGTAAACCTTTGGTAAAATAAGTATTTTAATATATACATGTTATTTGATTAGCATATCAATTATCTACATTATAAAGTTTATTTAAAAGTTCTAAATATTTATAACCAATCTTTTTGCTAAGTATTTTAAATATTTTCCAAGTAATTTTAACTTATTAATCAGCATTAAGAATAAACATGTTATTATATATACTACCCAATTTCATATTCCAGTCCCAAATGACAGCTTTTTAATATAATCATTAATAATACTTAATGGCATCTGCTACATAACCATTATTCAGAATCATTACTGACCATATTTCCTTAGCAGAAACACTGACAACTATCACCTCCTGGTGGCAGCAACAAACTCTGAAGTGGATACTACATTATGTACTTAAATGTTTTTCACTTTCCTTCTGGCACACTTTACCCCGTGCCCCCTGTTAGATGGGCCATGAGATTGAGTTCAGGACAATGAATGTGAGCAGAAGTGATAAATGCCACGTTTTAGGCATGACCCCAAACACCAAAATACCCTGGGTGATCCTGAATGCTTTTTCTCATGCTCTCTGCTACCTAGCTGTCAACTCCAAGAATGACTTAAGATACCTTTAGTGTTAATTTTAATTAGTTTAATATTCTAATATTCTTCACTAAATCTCTTTTATGCAATGATTAAACATTGCTTAAACCACAATTCAAATAGCAAAGCATAAATTCTAACAAATCAGCTTTTTTTTTAATTAAGGGAGAAGAACAAAAAACATGAATAAAAATTATCCTGAAATCAACTAGTTCTATCATGTAATATCAACTCTACAGTACGTTGTATTTAGATACTTACCTAGCTGAAATTATTACCCAATATCCAAATCCTTGTATTTCCAAAGGAGAAACACTTAAAAAACCTTGCACTTTAAATATTATTAAAACATAAGTTAGTATTCTCATTATTTCCCTTTTATCCCAAAAAAGGACGGGGTGGAAGAAGATTCTGTTACTATTAGATGAAAATGTAATTTGGATACCATACACTTTAAGTATCCCTCATCTTAAATGGCTGGGACTAGAAGTGTTTTGGATTTCAGAATTTTTTGGACTTTTGGTATATTTGGTATATTTGGTATATTTTGGTATATTTGGTATATTTTTTGGACTTTTGGTATATTTGGTATATTGAGCATCCCTAATCTGAAAATCCAACATCTGAAATGCTCCAAGAGAGATGAAACAAGATGGTGGAATAGAAGCCTACACCATTCATCTTCCTCACTGGAAAACCACATTTTAATATCTACACACAGAAAAGTACTGTCACAAGAACCAAAAATCCAGTAAGCAATCACAGTACCTGGTTTTAACTTCATATTACTAAAAGAGGCATTGAGGAGGTCAGGAGAGACAGTCTTGAATCACCAATGCCACCCCTCCGCCATCCCCCAGCGGCAGCCATGAGGCACCATGGAAAGAGAATCTTTTCGCTTTCAGGAGGGACAGCACAGTGGTGACTAAGGGGACTTTACACTGAACTCAGTGCTGTCCTATCACCGTTGACAATAGAGCCATACTGGGCTCAGCTAGTGCCCATGCATAGAAGGAACATTTGCACCAACACCAGCCAGAGGGGAATCACTCATCCCAGTGGTTGGAACTGGAGTTTCTCAGCAAGCCTTGCCACTGTGGGCAAAATGCTCTGGAATCCTAGGTAAACTCAAAAGGCAGTCTAGGAAACAAGGACTGCAATTCCTAGGCAACTCCTAGTGCTAGGCTGGGCTTACAGTGGACTAGGGTGGCATGTGACCCAGGGAGACAACAGCTAAGGGAGTGCTTGCACCATTCCTCTCCCAACCCCATGAAGTGCAGCTCACCTCAACAAAGGTGACTCTTTCCTTTGGCCTGAGGAAAGGAGAGGGAAGAGTAAAGAGAACTTTGTTTTGCGTCTTGGATACCAGCATGGCCACAACAGGATACTGTGCCAGAGTCGTCAGGCCCCCATTCCAGGGCCTAGCTCACAGATGACATTTCTAGACACACCTTGGACCAAAAGTGGATCTGCTGCCTTGAAGGGTAGTCAGGATTGATTACCTGCTGACTAAAGAGCCCCTGGTCCCTCAATAACCAGCAGTGTTATCTACCAAGCACATTGTGGGCCTTGGACTCTGGGACATGCTGGCTTCAGGGGTGATCCAGCACATTCCCAGCTATGGTGGCTGTGGTAAAAGACTCCTTCTGTCTGAGAAAAGTAAAGGGGACTTTGTCTTGCACCTCAGGTACCAGCTCAGCCACAGTAAGGCAGAGCAACAAGCAGACTCTTGAGGTCCCCAAGTCAAGGTCTAGACTCTTAGAGGACAGCATTTTTAGACATGCCCTGTCCAGAAGGGAGCCCATTGCCCTGCAGGCTGAGTCTCAGGCCTGGCAGCATTCACCACAAGCTGTCAGAAGAGCCCTTGGGCTTTAAGTGAACATTAGCAGTGGCCTGGTGGAACCCCATGGAACAGTGTCGATGGTGGCCACAGGGAGAGACTCCTCTGCCTGTGGAAAGGGGAGGGAAGAGCAAGTAGGACTTTGTATTGTGGTGGTGTGAATGTCAGCTTAGCCACAGATCATCAGGTAAACTGCTAAGGTTTTTACTCCAATTCCTGGCTCCCAGACAGCATCTCAGTAGAAACCTTACAGGCCAGCAAAGAACAGCATGACATACTTAAAGTGCTGAAGATAGAAAAATTTTACCCTAGAATAGTATATCCAGTGAAAATATCCTTCAAGTATGAAAGATAAAGATCTTCCCAGAGAAACAAAAGCTAAGAGACTTCATTAACACCAGACCTGCCCTGCAAGAAATGGCTAAAGGGAGTTCTTCAATCTGAAACAAAAGGATATTAATGAGCAAGAGGAAATCATGTGAAGGTACAAAATTCACTGGAACAGTAAGCACACAGAAAAACAAAGAATAGTATAACACTACAATGGTGGTGTGTAACTAGTCTTGTCTTAAGTAGAAAACTAAATGATGAACCAATCAAAAAAAAAAAAAACTTTTCAAGACACAGGCAGTACAATGAGACGTAAAGAGAAACAACAAAAAGTTTAAAAGCAGGAGGATAAAGTTAAAATGTCACGCTTCTATTTGTTTTCTTTTTGTGTGTTTGTATATGTAGTCAGTGTTAAGTTGTCATCAGTTTAAAATAATGGGTTATAAAATAGCATACGCAAGCCTTGTGGTAACCTCAAATTAAATAACATACAACGAATACTTAAAAACATAAAGGCAAGACATTAAAGCATACCACCAGACAAAATCACCTTCACTAAAAGGAAGACAAGAAAGAAGGAAAGAAGGGAGGATCGTAAAATAACCAGAATATAAATAACAAAATGGCAGAAGTCCTTACGTATCAGTAACAACACTGAATGTAAATGGACTAAACTCTCCAATCAAAAGACATAGACTGATTGAATGGATAAGAAATCCAAGACCCATTGATCTGTTGCCTACAAGAAATACATTTCACCTACAAAGACATACAGACTGGAATGGAAAAAGATATTCCATGCCAATGGCAACAAAAAAAGAACAAAAGTAACTATGTTTATATTGGGGAACATAGATTTCAAGGCAAAAAACTGTATGAAAAGACAAAGAAGATCATTATATAGTGATAAGGGGGTCAATTCAGCAAGAGGATATAACAATTATAAATGCACCCAACACTGGAGCACCCAGATATATAAAGCAAATATTATTAGAGTTAGAGAGACAGACCCCAATACATTAACAATGGAGACTTCAACACCCCAATTTCAGTACTGGACAGATCTCTCAGACAGAAAATCAGCAAAGAAACATCAGACTTAACCTGCACTACAAAATAAATGGACCTAATAGACATTTAAAGAACATTTCATCCAGTGTCTGTGGAATACATATTCTTTTCCTTAGCACATGGATCATTCCCAAGGATAAACCATATGTTAGGTTATAAAACAAATCTTAACACATTCACAAAAATTGAAATAATATCAAGCATCTTCTCTGACCACAATGGAACAAAGCTACAAATCAGTAACAAAAGGAATTTAGAGAACTATACAAACACATGGAAATTAAACAATATGCTCCTAAATGACCAGTGGGTCAATGAAGAAATTAAAAAAGAAATTGAAAGAGTTCTGGAAACAAATGATAATGGAAATACAACATACCAAAACCTACAGGATACAGCGAAAGTAGCAGTAAGAGGGAAAATTACAGCTCTAAGTGCCTAAATCAAAAAAGAAGAAAAACTTCAAACAAATACTGTAATGACGCATTTTAAAGAAATGAAAAATAAAGAAAAAACCATACCCAAAATTAGGAGAAGGAAAGAAATAAAGATCAGAGCAGAAATAAATGAATTTGGAATAAAACAATAAAAAAGATAGATGAAACAAAAAGTTGGTTTTTTAAAAAGAAAAAATTGACAAACCTTTAGCCAGACTAAGAAAAAGACAGAACCCAAATAAATAAAATAAAAGATGAAAATGGAAACATTACAACTGATACCACAGAAATTCAAAGGATCATTAGTGGCTACTATGAACAACTAATTATATGCCAACAAATTGGAAAATATAAAAGAAATGGATAAATTCATAGACACATACAACCTACCAAACTTGAACCATGAAGAAATCCAAATCCTGAACAGACCAGTAATAAGTAACGAGTAACAAGATCAAAACTGTAATTAAAAGCCTCCCAATAAAGGAAAGCCCAGGACCTACTGCTGATCCACTGCCGAATTCTATCAAACATTTAATGAAGAACTAATATCAGTCCTACTCAAACTGCTCCAAAATACGGAGGAGGAGGAAATAGTTCTAGTTTCATTCTATAAGACCCTGATACCAAAACCAAAGACACATTTAAAAAAAAAAAAAAAAACACTACAGGCCAATATTCATGAATATTCATACAAAAACCCCTACCATATATTAGCAAACCAAATTCAACATCAGAAAGATCATTCATTATGACCAAGTGGGATTTATCCCTGAGATGCAAGGGATGGTTCATTTGATTTGTATTTGTTGAACCATCCCTTGCACCTCAGGGATAAATCCCACTTGGTCATAATGAATGATCTTTCTAATCAATCGTTGTAATACATCATATCAAGAGAATGAAGGATGAAAACCACATGATCATTTCAATTGATGCTGAAAAAGCATTTGATAATGTTCAACATCCTTTCAAGATAAAAACCCTCAAAAAACTGAGTATAGAAGGAATATACCTCAATGTAATAAAAGCCATATATGTGAGGTCCACAGCTAGTATCACATTGAATGGTGAAAAACTGAAAGCCTTTCTTCTTAGTTCTGGAGCAAGACAAGGATGCTCACTTTCAACACTGCTATTCAACATGAAAGTCCTAGCTGGGGCAATCAGACAAGACAAAGAAAGAAAGGGCATATAAACTGGAAAGGAAAAAGTCAAACTACCTTTGTTTGCAATGATATAATTTTATATTTGGAAAAACTTAAAGACTCCACCAAAAAACTATTATAACTGACAAGCAAATTCAGTAAAGTTGCAGGATACAAAATCAACATACAAAAAATCAGTAGCATTTCTATATGCCAACAGTGAACAATCAGAAAAATAAATTTAAAAAAGTAAGCCCATTTACAATAGCCCCAAATAAAATTAAATAACTAGGAATTAACTTAACCAAAAAAGTGAAAGATCACTGCAATGAAAACTATAAAATACTGATGAATGAGGAAGACACCAAAAAAATGAAGAAATATTCCATGTTCATGGATTGGAAGAGTCAATATTGTTAAAATGTCCATACTACTCAAAGCAACCTACAGATTCAATGCAATCCCTATCGAAATAGCAATGACAATCTTCACACACACACACACACACACACACACACACACACACAAAACACACACCTAAAGTGTATACAGAATCCCAAAGACCCAGAATACCAAAGCTATCCTGAGCAAAAAGAACAAAACTGGAGGAATCATATTACCTGACTTTAAATTCTATTACAGAGCTATAGTAACTAAAACAGCATGGTACTGGCATAAAAACAGACACACGGACCAATGGAACAGAATAGAGAACCCACAAACAAATCTACACACCTATGGTAAACTCATTCTTGACAAAGGTGCCAAGAACATGCATTGAGGAAAAGACGGCTTCTTCAATAAACAGTGCCAGGGAAACTGGATATCCATATGTAGAAGAATGAATCTAGACCCCTATCTCTTGCCACATACAAAAATCAAATCAAAATGAATTGAAGACCTAAGATCAAAGACCTCATACTATGAAACGACTTCAAGAAAACATTGGAGAAATTCTCCAGGACATTGGTCTGGATAAAGCTTCTTAAGTAATACCTTAGAAGTACAGGCAACCAAAGCAAAAAATGACAAATGGGATTACATCAAGCTAAAAAGCTTCTGCACAGTAAAGGGAACAGTCAACACAATTAGGAGACAAGGCACAGAATGGGAGAAAATATTTGCAAACTACCATATGACAAGTGATTAATAACCAAAATATATAAGGAGCTCAAACAACTCTACAGAAAAAAGCCTAATAACCATATTAAAAAGTGGGCCAAAGATTGGTATAAACATTTCTTAAAATAGACATACAAATGACAGACAAATGAAAAGGTGCTCAACATCACTGATCATCGGAGAAATGCAAATCAAAACTGAGATTATCATTTCACTCTGATTAAAAGGGCTTTTATCTAAAAGTCAGGCAACAACAAATGCTGGTGAAGATGTGGAGAAAAGGGAACCCTTGTACACTGTTGGTGGGAATGTAAATTAGTACAACCACTACAGAGAATAGTTTGGAGGTTCCTCAAAAAACTAAAAATAGAGCTACTATATGATCTAGCAATCCCACTATTTGGCACATACTCAAAAGAAAGGAGATCCATATATCAAAGAGATATCTGCACTCCCATGTTTGTTGCAGCACTGTTTACAACAGCCAAGATTTGGAAACAACCTAAGTGTCCATCAACAGATGAATGGATAAAGAAAATGTGGTACATATATACAATGGAGTACTATTCAGCCATAAGAAGAGTAAGATTCTGTCATTTGCAACAGCATGGATAGAACTGGAGGTCATTATGCTAAGTGAAATAAACTAGGCACAGAAAGACAAACATCACATGTTCTGACTTATTTGTAGGATCTAAAAATCAAAACAATTGAACTCGTGGAAACAGAGAATTGAAGGATGGTTACTAGAGGCTGGGAAGGGTAGTGAGGCAGTGGGAGGCAGGTAAGGATGGTTACTAGGTACAAAAAAAAAAAAAAAATGAGTAAGACCCAGTATTTGAAAGCACAACAGGTGAACTATAGTCAATAATAATTTCGTTGTACATTTTAAAATAACTGGCTGGGCAAGGTGGCACATGCCTGTAATCCCAACACTTTGGGAGGCTGAGGCGAGTGGATCACTTGAGGTTAGGAGTTTGAGAACAGCCTGGTCAACATGGTGAAATCCCATCTCTACTAAAAATGCAAAAAATGAGCCGGGTGTGGTGGCAAGCACCTGTTGTCCCAGCTACTCGGGAGGCTGAGGCAGGAGACGGAATTTCTTGAACCCGGGTAGTGGAGGTTGCAGGGAGTTGAGATCGCGCCACTGCACTCCAGCCTGGTAACAGAGTGAAACTCTGTCTCAAAAGTAAATAATTAAATTAAATTAAGTAACTAAAAGAATATAATTGGACTGTTTGTAACACAAAGTATATAAATGCTTGACAGAAGAGATACCGAATTTGCCATGATGTGATTATTATGCATTGCATGCCTATACCAAAATATGTACTCCATCTATACAGCTACTACGTACCCACGAAAATTAAAAATAATTTTTAAAAGTGTTCCAAGGAACATTTCTTTTGAGCTCAAAGTTTCAAATTTTGAAAGCTTTCAGATTTTGGATTTTCAGATTAGGGAGGGATACTCAACCTGTAGAGTAATTTCCCTCTAATTACCTCAATTTTTATCAAATGTATACTTTCAAAATGTATACTTTGGTGAAATATAAAAGGAAAAATATATAATTGGGTTTAAAATGTATATTGTAAAGTTGAAAAGTTACCTACTGGGTACAACATTCACAATTTGGGTGATGGCTACACTAAAAGCCTAGACTTCACCACAATGCAATATATGCATGTCAGAAAACTGCACTTGCACCCTCTAAATATATTTTTTAAAATTAAAAGCATCTCGTTTATATTTTTAATATTAAATTATATATCCTCAAAACATTGAAAAATACAAAGAATAAAGCCTATGGGAACTAAAGTACCTGATAGTTCCTTTAACATTTCCTTATAGGATTTTCCTATCCTTATTATCATTTTAACCTATTTAATTTGGTTATTCTAGTACTTCCATATTCTTTAAACATTATTGATAAAAAGTAACAGAATAATTTAAGACTCTGATTAATATATAGTATTATATGATTATTTACCAATTCTCATTACTCATTGTATTAGTCCGTTCTCACATTGCTATAAAGAACTACCTGAGACTGGGTAATTTATAAAGAAAAGAGGTTTAATTGGCTCACGATTCCACCAACTGTACAGGAAGCATGGTTAGGGACACCTCAGGAAACTTATAATTGTCGCAGAAGGCAAGGGGGAAGCCAGCACGTTATATGTTGCTGGAGCAGGAAGAAGAGAGTGAAGTGGGAGGTGCTACAGATTTTTAAACACCCAGATCTCGTGAGAACTCTATCCCAAGACAGTACTACGAGGATGGTGCTAAACCATTAGACACTACCCCGATGATCCAATCACTTCCCACCAGGCCACACCGCCGACACTCGGGATCACAATTCAACATGAGATTTGGGTAGAGACAGACAGCCAAACCACATCATTCATATTATTTTCATAATCCAAAAGAATGTTGCTTTTTACAACAAAATGCCATGGCAATATTTTGCTAAGCCCAGCTTATATGCAGGTATGTTTCCCTGTCCCCTCAACCACCTCCAATCTAGGCCTATTTGTCCTCAATGCTTGTTATTCTGTGTTGGATGGATTAGGTTCCCTGAATGCACTAACTGCAGTACTCGATACTGTTTCCCAAGGAACCTTTTGCTCTAGTCAGTATTAACAACATGGCCCTTATTTACAGTCTACTGTCAAACACAAGGCCTTCTGAATTATCCTAAACTGGTCTGCTGGTCTCAATTTCTACAAATCCATCTTCTACACTGTTTCTAAAGTGATCTCACTCTAATACCCAAGTCAATATATGTCATTCCTCTAATTAACATCCTTTAAGATTCTACAGGACTAATAAATGTATTTTTCAAAGCATTCTGGTATGAGTTCCTAGGAATCTGGAAAGGTGCCACTAGGGCCACTACAGAAGATAAGGCAGCTAGCCATGCAGGAATCTGCTGCTACTTTAACCAGAGCAATTCTACTTGTTCCCAACCTCTATATGTATATGAACATATAAAATTGTTTTAAAAAGTTGTTTTGCTATTTTTTTTTTATGAAAGGTACAATTATTGGTTGGTATTGGGAAAAGACTCTAATTAATGTAATTCTACATATAAAGCACTTCATGACCTGATCCCTACCAACTTGTTAACTTTATCTCATGCTTCTGAATTGTTCATAGTTCTTAAAACACTACAATTTTATGCTACTTTAGGCTTTGTCCAACATACACATTTTATTCCATGTAGTGCCCTCATCTAGAATGCCCACCTTCTCATCTTATTTCATTAACAACTGTTAATGCCCTTCAGGTCTCGGTTTAATTACAATACGTCTGAGAAACCTTCCCTGACTTGTAAATGTCCCTTGCTTATAACTCAATTATAACGCATAGGTATATTAACATTATTCATCTGCACATTTGTTTTATCACTAGATCTGCCAAACTTGGCTGAACAGATTTCTAGGCCAGACTAATAACAACTACAGTAGACTATCTGGTATGTAATGACTAAGTCCCAATTCTTTTTCCTCCTACCTTTGTTTCAAGAACAAACATTTATTATTAAATTAATAAAATAATTTCTCCAAGAAGATAATAATTGACCAATAAGCTTTTAGGAAGAGACAGCTCTTAATTCACACAAAGTTATTTCCTTAAATGGAATTGATATACTTATTAGAAGAGCTGAACTGAATTTCTAAATAGCTTAATTTAAAATATTTTATAAAATAAAAAAGTTTCTGGTAACAACTTGCGGTAACATAAGACCAGAACAAAACACTATTTTTAAATTTTTAATTGTCCGAAGACAACGTAGAAGAAAGGTGCCATCGTTTGGTTACCAAGCTTTTAGCTTGTTTTTGGACTGCATTTTCAATAATTATCAGGAAATTTAACTACAATATTTAGATTATGATAAGCTTGACATAGACCTTATATAAAACATTATAACTTTTAAGGTCTTTAAACAACAATCTTTTGAACTTCACGAACTTCACTTCAGACTTTTTTTTTAATGTACAAAAAGGCTATCCTTTTCAGAAACACAAAACTTTTATTACTTACTACTGCCCTCTAGTGAATTTCCAGAAAAAAAAATCAGAAAACTAAAGAGATTGTATAGTTTAAAATGCTTCTATTAATAGGTTGGCCCTAATTGTCTCCAAATTTATTTTGACTTCCAAGAATAAATCACCAACTGTATTTGAAAACTAAAATGTTTTAAAATAATATATACAAACTACATTCCTAATAACTTCTTTTACCGCTCAGTTTAGAAGGGCACGTTTTCTTTACATATCTCTCTCCTTTATCTGGAATGCTGGTTTCCAACTCTGCAGGCCTTAGATTATTGTAAAGGGTCAACACTAAATACTACCTGTAGACTTAATAAATGTCTTCCACATATTTGTGAAATCTATTATTCAAAGATGTACATGTTATTATGATTAATGAAACAACACAGGTACTCAAGACTTTCCTTTTAAGTATTCACTGAGTCTAAGACGTATATATTTTCTTACATTTAATATCAGTGAAATTTGGATGCATCTAAAAATTGAAGGCATCATATAATTGAAGGCTAGGCAGAAGCCATGACATAGTTGTCGCTACATGCACATTCACAAATTTGGTCACAGCAAGTTACATTACAGTCACTTCAGTTGAATTACATGCATTCTTGGTACAATTATTGAGTTTAATTGCCACTTATGTCTTAAAAGATAATATGATTTGACATTAAAGCAAAAAGTTAATGTGTAAGTCAGGAGAAAGAGAATGAAGATGCATCGGTAGTAAAGAAAATATTCATTAGAATAATGGGCATAATTCTGTATTTTCTTAAAAAGCAACAGTCAAGTGCTTCATAAGCTTAAGAAAGGAAGATATCCAAAAGAGAAGCATTTTTCTGCTTAGGTATATGCAAAAGGATTCCCTTCTATATGGCAAGACAAGAAACAACAGCAAAACATCTTAAATTTACAGGATAGGTGTGTTGGCAGCTTCGAAGAAAATCCCAGAGATAAGAATAGAACACACAAGAAAAGCTGCACATCAATTCTCTTGATAGCATAAAAGACAATACACTTTTTTAGCTTCTGTGTATGAGCGAAAACATGTGAAACTTGTCTTTCTGAGTCCAGCTTATTTCACCTAACACAGTGACTACAACTAATGACTAAAAGAGTAGAGGCCGTTAAGGGTAGGGAGTAGGGAGGGGAGATGAAGAGAGGCTTGATTAATGGGTACAAAAGTACAGTTAAATAGACAAAATACAACCTAGTGTTCAATAGATCAGTAGGGTGACTACAGTCAACAATAATCTATTGTATATTTCCAAATAGCTAGAAGAGAATAATTCAGATATTCCTGGCATAAAGATAAATGTTTAAGGTGATGGATATTCCAATTACCCTGATTTGATCATTACACATTATATGAACACCTCAGACTATCACATGTACCTGGAAAATGTGTATACCTATTATGTATCAATAAAAATAAAAGACAATACAGTTGGTTCCCATGTCACAATGGTTCAACTTAGGATTTTCATACTTTGTGATGGTATGAGACCATTCTTTTTTACTTTCAGTACAGTAGTCAATAAATTACATAAGAAAATATTTGATATTTTATTGTAAAATAGGCTTGGTGTTAGATAATTTTGTGCAACTGTAAGCTAATGTAAGTGTTCTGAGCAAGTTTAAGATAAGCTAAACTAAGCTATTATGTTCAGATAGGCTAAACTAAGCTATGATATTCAGTAGTTTAGGTGTATTAAATGCATTTTCAAACTGAAAATATTTTCAACTTACGATGGATTTAACAGAATGTAACTCCACTGTAAGTCAAAAACCATCTGTGTCGTATAGTAAAACATGAACATCAATAACCAATTCAAAAAGTGATATAGAATTCTCACACTCCAAATATAAAGTTTTAGGAACGCCTTTCATTTCATATTTTCCTTGTTATGAATGCAGACAAATCCAACAAATCTCACTCACTAAATATAAAACAAAGATTATAAATGATTAAGAAAAACTTGTCAGATTTTTCCTTATAGTGACACATAAAGTAACGGTGCACCTTACAATCGGTAGCATATATTCAGTGAAATATGCTATCACATAGGCTGAGAAATTTGACTTTTAAAGGGAATTTCTTTCTCTAAATATTATTGAGAACCACTGCTGTGATTCATAAGGTGTTGTAACATGAACTGAATGTTTGTTTTCCCCTAAAATTCGTATGTTGAAATCTAATCCCCAGTGTGATATTTGTAGGTGGAGTTTTCAAGAGATAACTGAGTCATGAGGGTGAATCCCTTATAAATAAGATTAATGCCCTTATAAGAAGGGTCACAATAGAGCTTGCTTCCTCTCTCTCCCTGCTCTTTATCATATGAGCATAGAATGAGAAGACAGCCAACTGCAAATCAAGGAAGAGGGCCCTCACCAGACACCAGACACCTTGATGTTGTACTTCCCAGTCTCTAGAACCATGAGAAATAAATGTTTGTTGTTTGAGCCACCCAGTCTATGGTACATCTGTTATACTGACCTGAACTAAGACATGGAGGCAAACCAACATTTGATGGGTACAAGAAGAAAATATTAAATGTTTTATTTCTATATTTGAATCTTTATCACTTTAATGTTCTTTAACCTATTAGTTTATATTTTACATTAAATGTACAAAGATTAGCATAATAATATGTAAATATGTATTTATAATCATAAATATCCTGGTGGACATATTTAAAGTTTTATGGATAGAGGTATATAGTAAACAATTTAGCAGTCACTGCTTCTATAGGCAGTTCACTGGTCCATACGATACATTTTGCTGAAGACATCATTATTCAACATTTCCCCACTTGGTGGCACCAAAAAATTAGAATATCTACATATATATCCGTGCCTGTTAAGTTTTACTTTTTTAAATTTAGTAAGTATCAATTCCCTTTCAATGTAAGCTTAAAATAATAGGCAAACTAATATGCTGTTTGACCTCCTTCTCCTAAAGCTCACTGTCCAATTATTTGGCATTGATTAATACAGGGTACAGTAGTCAGAATCAGTAAAATTTAAATAATCAACTAGTTTCAAAAATAAACAATAATACATAACTAAGAAATTCACACTTGACTGACACATAAGATAAAAAAATTTCTCTAGCCTCAATACAAAAAAAAAATTCAGTTACAAATTCCATAACAAACATGATTTTTACATTTCATATTATATTTAGGGTCAAAGTACTCAAGTATTAATTTCCCACTCTGGGTACTTTAATTAAGATTAAACCTATTCTAGTCCTCATGCATATTTTCTATACCCTCTTTCAAGGTGCCACAAGGAAAGTCCAGTTCTCAACCTTTTCCAAGGTAAGTTAGGAGAAAACTTTGTATCCCAACTACAAGCAAATATGATAATTATACTATTTAACTACCTATCTACAATAAAACCACATATCTATAAATTGTTGGTTTTCACTGAATTTTTACTAAAATTTCGGTAAGTATTATTGGCTCATTTTTACAGATGGGGAAGCTTGGGATCAGGTAATAGATTTTAAACAAACTCAACATTCATGACCAGAGCTCAGCTATACACACCATGATGCCCCTCTTGAACAGGGTATCATCTACCTTCCTCTTCCCCTCCCTCTATACACCACAGGTATTAAAACTGGCCAAATCATGGCTTGGCAGCAAAACCTGAGCTTTGAGTACTTGTAGTGCTATTCGAATGATATTATCTCTCTATCCACACTCCCCCAACCCCAACTAACCACCATTCAATTATGAATGCCTTTTTGACTTACCTTTGAATAAGAAACATTCTCACTGATCATGATACAACTGCTTTTTGCATTTGGTTTATTTTCACTGAGAGAGGAAAGAGGTGGGAACTATAGTTTGAACCATATGAAACTGTGAATATTCAACTGTTTAAGCTAATAGTGACTATTAAGTGGCCAGTAGATTCCAAGACTTGGTGGATTATTTAATTAAATCCTCACTACTTTATTACTTAAATATCATACCACTATAAAGATGAAGAAATTTAGATGGGAAAGTAGGTCAGGAGGCCCATGGACTTGAGATCCACATTTCAGCCTCTCCACACCAATTATTATAATTTTATTGTTTATGCTGCTTAAAGAAAACCAATAACTGCTAGGAAGTTGGATCTTAGTGGGCTGTTACATCGGAATCTCTCCCTTGGCCTTAGGCCTTAAGTGGCCCCTCTCTACCTATTTAGCAACTCTTCTATGTGTTCCTGGTTCCCACCCTCAATCCCATTATAAGGTCCTCTGGTTGTTTTATCAATATCCTTCAGCCCAGCCCTCTATACAGTAAATCATCACATAACGTCATCAATGGATTCTTGGAAACTGGGACTTTAAGTGAAAGGATGTATAACAAAACCAATTTTTTTTTTTTTTTGAGACGGAGTCTTGCTCTTGTCTCCCAGGCTGGAGTGAAATGGCGCAATCTCGGCTCACTGCAACCTCTGCCTGCCGAATTCAAGCGATTCTCCTGCCTCAGTCTCCCGAGTACCTGCGATTACAGGAGCCCACCACTAAGCCCGGCTAATTTTTGTATTTTCAGTAGAGATGGGGTTTTACCATGTTAGCCAGGCTGGTCTCAAACTCCTGACCTCAGGTGACCCGCCCACCTCGGTCTCCGAAAGGGCTGGGATTACAGGCGTGAGCCATTGTGCCTGGCAACAAAACCAATTTTACTACAGACTAATTGACGTAAACAAAAGCTAACTTCCTATTGCATATTTCTGGTCACAAGAACATCACCAAACTTCTAAATAAAGATTCAAAGCACTTCTAATATTAAATACTGAAATAAATGTAAGCTCTACATACATTTAGGAAAGATTAATAAAAACAAAATACTCAACTTTTGGTGAATTAGTGAGTGACGATGGTTGTGGTCATAGTGGGTTAAATTAAGGAATAAATGTTTGCAAAGTGAAAATTATAAAGAGCTCCTCCTACCACCACACAGTTCAAAAACAAAAACAAAGAAACAACAGTGTTGGGCTAGCTGAACGCTTTTGTATTGCAATTATTGTTATGCACTTGTATGTAGTATACTTCATGAATTTTTATTTTACAATAATTTGCATTCATTTGCTCATTCATTTTCCAAGCCACTTATTCTTAGTTCAGGGTCACGGGTGGCTGGAGCCTATCCCACTAGCTCAGGTTGCAAGGCAGGAACCAACACTGGACAGGATGCCATTCCAACTGCAGGGTGCACTCACACATACCTACACTAACTCCTACTGGCACAATTTCAGACATACCAATTCACCTAATACGCACATCTTGGGAATGTGGGAGGAAACCAGAGTACCCAGAGAAAACCCACGCAGACATGGAAACAACATGCAAACTCCACACAGTGGCCCTAGCCAGAAACTGTTCTTTTTTCACATCAACATTATAGGAAAACAACATAAAAAAAAAAAAAAAGATGTTATTTGAGGACCTGCTGTATTCTAGAAAAGTGAAGTTCTTTTAAGGATAGCTTAACCAATTCAGTATGAATACTATGTCAGTTTAATTGATTTAAATAATTTTCAAAGTTTCCATTTAAATATAAAATATTAGTTTAAAATGTTTCTTTCCAATAATATCATTCCTACAAAGAAGCTCTCTTTCAAATAGTTTTAGTAACATCTTATTTTCTCCACTCCCACTCGCTACCCTCATAGCTTATTTAATTCGGAGCCACCAGAGTGATACTGTTAAAATGTTTGTCAGAGCCCATGCCTTTTCCATTTAAAAACTTCCAGGGGCTTCAAAACTCAATCAGTATAAACTTCAAAACCCTAACTGTGGACTATAAAGCTCACATGACATGGCCTCTTGCTACCTCTCAATGAAACTTTTACTACTCCCCCTTGTCAACTGAATTCCAGCCACAATGGCTTTGCCTCCTTGCTAGTATCTGAATATAGCATGTATGTGCCCACCTCAGGATCCTCACACTTACTCTTCTGTCATGGCTTACTTTCACTTCATTCAGGTCTCTGTTCAGATGTTAGAAACTATTCCTGATCTTTACAGTAGTCTCAGCCTCTACTACTGTCTATCTACTTATGCTGCCTTATTTTTCCTCATAGTATCTACCAATTGACCACTGGGAGACACATCTCCACGCATCTTTCATTTCTGCATATTTTGCAAGCCAGGAGCTAATTGACCCCCCCTCCGCCGACCCACCACTTTTTTTTTCTGTACTATCTTTTCAAAGATCTTTGTATAGCAAATAGTCTTGGTAGATGCAGAAAATATCTTTCCCTGGAGCAAAGGACAGGCATGCTTACCATCCATTATAAAAGATTCAGCTTCCCTAAGCTCAGGGTTCCTCTTCTACAATACACTCTATTATGTGCAGGTCTCATCTAGTTCTCTCCCCATTGCCCTAAGGGAACTGGGACTCCGGGAACCAACACACAAAAAAGTTGATCCTATGGCTACTGCTATTGCTGTGAGTAGAAGTCTTACATCTTCAGTTGTCATCCACAAAACTGGCAGGTTACAAGTAGGGTAAATATCCTAGGTCCTTCATAGTTCTTGACATTGACATTACATACTGAATTTCTCTCTATTTTTTTCTCCTGACTTATGTTTCATTGATTGCTATATCCTCATTTCTCTAAAGGTTTCAAAGCACTTTTACAAATAGTATCATTTGACCTTCAAAAATCCCTGTGGAACATTTTCTATTTCCATTTAATAGGGAAGACACTGATCCAGAAAGGTTAAAGGACAAACCCAAGATTAGCATAGCAGATCAGTCACAGAATAATAGCAGTTAAAATCCAGGTCTAATTCCTAATTTGTTATTAACTTGTGACTACTTCTTAAAAGACAACTACTATGCTGTACATTCTGTGAGATAGAAGGATAATCACCCAATGATATTAGATGACAAGTTCCTTATGTGGTATCACATAAAAACACAAAAATTTCAATGAATAATAAAACTGAGTACCCAAGTAAGCACCTGTAAGATATTGAAATGTATGTCTTTTGGGGTTCTTTTATTATACATTATGGCACGTGAATGATCATGTGACAAAACTAAATTCTGCTCTTACGATAATAGCCATTTCCTTTATGTCTAAAGGAAGACATCTTAAGAAAATACCCAAAAATGTTTCCTTTGTAACCAGAATTTTCATCTTTGCAAGAATTAAGAGTGCTTCAACATAAACTTCATTAATCTGAAAGGTTCCAGATAATATTAATGCTGCTTATACAACTCTCAAGATAGGTAATAAAGAAGCATTTATTACTAGCTTTTTATCTACAATGTGAGCAAAAGACTCAAAGAGAAGTCTGTATACAACTTGGTCAGTCATTTATAATTCACACCTTACCACTTCCAGGAAGACTGAGGGGAAAAAAGTCTGGGAGTATAAGAACAGATTTCATATAAAAGAGAAGTATCAAGTTATATAAAATATCTGATTTTAAAAGCCCTATATCCCCAAGTAGAGTAAATCTGCAAAACCAGTAATAGATATGGTCTATGGTTCAGAGTTCTAATATGCTTATAAATCTATTAATATGCTTATATTATATATTATATGCTTATATTATAAATCTATTAATATGCTTATAAATCTATAGGCATATAGATTTATAAGCATATCAGGTATTATAAATCTATTATATAGATTTATAAGCATAGATTATTATAACAGTATATAACCACCTTCAAGGTTCATAAGTTATAAAATTTCTGATTATGAAATTGCACAAATACAGCTAAAATGATGATGGCTAAGTAGTTAAAATTTTACCCTTAAGTAAAGAAAACTGAAGAAAAATTGAAAAAGAATCAAAATATTATAAAGGAAAACAGAATAAAGTTTAATAAATTACTAAGGTAAAAAAATTGTTTTATAAGGCAATTTTAACTCAATTATCCCCATTTCACTTACTGTGTAAGTTATAGCTGCCAACATTCCAATCAAGGTCAGAGAACTGATAGAAAATGACAATGCAGCTAAACCATCTGTGAAGAAAGAAAAACTGTTAAAAATGTACATATATACTACTCAAATCCTTATATTTAGCAAATCAACATAGAAAGCTGAGCTGCTTACACATTTTGAAGAAATAAAAACCAATATGTATTACCGTATTCTTGAAGTGCTAACTCCAAGTGGAGAAAAGAGTTTCTAAAGGACTCTTTAAAAATTGATTTGTAAAAAATCTTTCTGACTAGCTGAGATTTTCTTTCCTTCACGTCTTAAAATTAAGAGGAAAATTACTGGCTAATTATTGGGCCCAAAAAGAGATCAGCAAAATATCAGATGCTCAAAAGGTGATTAAAAAGATCACATGGCCTTTCTCAATGGCAGACCCTGAGAAATAACATTTCATAGGAA
Source organism: Homo sapiens (assembly GCF_000001405.40). NCBI lineage: Eukaryota > Metazoa > Chordata > Mammalia > Primates > Hominidae > Homo > Homo sapiens. The sequence continues at coordinate 69,738,392 of NC_000006.12, forward strand.
AGCCACTGACCTTGACTCTTTCTCCCTTCTCCCCTCAGTCTTGAGACTTCCAGTTTCTTTGTTCTTAATTTTCAAATTGGTTCTTAATAGATAATCAAAAACTAAAATCTTAATTAAAGATTTATTTCACTTTTTAACTTGAAAGGACAAGCTTGCCTACTTGGCAGAAAAATAAAAGCAAACACAACGAGAAAATAGGTTTAAAAATACACACACACACACACACACACACACACACAAAATACTATGCTAACGCATTGGATTTAGGAAATTATCTAAAGGAAGGTCAAAGAGTGAGGGGCAGGAATGACACTTTCACATAAATATATCAAATTATGTAATAAAATACTATGCAAATTTGAATATTCTTAGGAGCAACACTTTTTCCAGTTTTAATACAGGTCCTATTAGGCCTGTATTGAGCGAGTTTAAATGCAAGTCCTGTGGAATCAAATACAAAGTTTTGATTAATTTAATGTATTGACATTAATCTTTTATGAGTACTAATAAAATTATAATGATCTATCATCTTAAAACTCATGTCTCAGTTTTGTATAACACATAAAGAAGGCATATTATTAACAAATTCACAATCACGCAAGGCAAATTTTTAAGCCTTAATTTTTTAAAACTACTTTTTATCAAATCAAAGACATTTTGATGCTGTTACTTTACTGATCATACCAGAAGTATCATGAGAAGGTGTTTATACAACTAGGAGGGGTCTGACATCTGGCTGATAATTTTAAGGTACTATCACTTGTAAAATGTATCTCCAAAACAGCGATGTAAAAATCTGAAAAATTATGTGTCTTAGAAATGGTAAAATAGACATGCTGACATATTTGGCCAATCGAAATGTTAATATTACTAATAGTCAAAATCATCTGAACCAAATAACTCAAAATTGATCATTATTAATTATTCCCATTTGGGTAAAAGATGAATAAATGTGTGCTGAAGATACCTGAAGATGCATTCTCTTTATATATTAGGGGGTCTATGATCTGGCTGCATATATCTTTATGATATAATAAATAAATCCTATTGTAAACAAGTTGTAGTATAGTCATAAAATGCATTACTCTGCTGCAATAAAAAGGAACTACTAATACAAATGAATTTCACAACATTATTTCATGAAAGATGCCAGGTATACACAAAAAAGAATCATTAATAAATGGAATCAGAATTCTACTTACAATATTCAAAAAAAGTAAAACTAATATAACTAATATATAGTGGCAGAAATTATAACAATGGTGCCTCTCATGGGAGATGATATTAACTGAATGGAATACTGCGAAAAAATTGCTGGAGTGATGGATGTGTTCTACACCTTGACTGCAATCAGTTACAATGACTATATACATGTATCATAAGATCTACACATTTTACTACATATAAAGCATTTTTTTTAAAAAAGGTTATATAGGCCGGGTGCAGTGGCTCATGCCTGTAATCCCAGCACTTTGGGAGGCCAAGGTGGGCGGATCACAAGGTCAGGAGTTCGAGACCAGCCTGGCCAATATGTTGAAACTCCATCTCTACTAAAAATACAAAAATTAGCTAAGCGTGGTGGCGGGTGCCTGTAGTCCCAGCTACTCAGGAGGCTGAGGCAAGAGAATCGCTTGAACCCGGAAGGCAGGGGTTGCAGTGAGCCACGATCATGCCACTGCACTCTAGCCGGGGTGACAGAGCAAGACTCCGTCTCAATCAATCAATCAATCAATCAATAAAAAGGTCATATACCCTTGATGCCTGAAAAATGCAATGCAAGGAGGTGGGATGAGAGACGAAAGGACTAAAAATTAAGAATAGTTGGGTAACTGTTTTGGACTTAGACAGCTCATCTAGAGTGATAAGTAACATGTATTCTAGAATATGGTGTTTAACACTGGGAGACAAAAAAAATAAAGACTAAAGAGAATGGAATTACAAAAAACAGAATAATGCTACCTATCTAATCACCAATTCAAGTTATACTAATACTCAAAGTATAACTTATGAAATAATGTTTAGGGTAGAAGAGTAGTTACTCAAGATATCTAAAGGAGTTAACTCCAAGAAAAGAAGCCATTAATTTATCAGCAATAGAATCAAGGTACATAAATCTGACAATTCAGTATTAGTAGATGCGAGGCCTGCTACCCTTATTCTTGCTGGTATCAGCAAGATATTAATGAATCACAATTTACAACATGAGATCTTAAGTGGAAAGCAAGAAAATTAAGAACTCATACAGCAGACTGCAAGACTTAATTTAATCATCGTTTAGTATTGTACCTGGGTAAAAAGAAAGAAGTGCTGATTAAAGAATGTACAGTACCTATTAGAATAGTCAAAAAAGCAATTTTTCTGCATAGTATTTATAGAATTAAGTACACTAGGTATCTTTGAAAATAAGGTTACTATGTTCAAATGCACAAGGAATTTTGAGTAATATGATACACAATATTTTAATATCACTTTCTAATGCCAGTTATTTTTTCAATGATTAAGCAATTTTCTTAACCTAATCCGTGAGCCTTTTTTTTCTGTAAAAACCTAGGTCACACAGAGTAAGTTAAGAAAAACTTCTAGAAAAGCAATGCCAAAATATTTTGATGAGGTAAATTTATAATAAAACATTTAATTCATATAAAACCTCTAATTTACATTTTATATAAAAGATGATTTAATCTCAAACAAAAACATAAGGTTCTCTCTTACTAATTAAAAATAAAATCTAATATATCCAGTACATTTCTTTAACATATTATTTTATATTATCCTAAGTGAATTAAAAATCACATAGAAATTATAAGAGCCTCACTGCTAAAATACTTTGAAGATTAAATTTTCTTTCAACATGGTAATTTTATAAAGAAGTCAAGAAAATAGCTACGTAATAGCTAGATGGCTAAAAGCAAGCCTTAAGAATGCAACACTTCTAATTTGTCTAGCATTAGGTTCAAAATGACGAGTTAGAAAAACTGTGGGGTTAAGTTCTTTTTTTTTTTTGAGATGGAGTCTCGCTCTGTCTTGCTCAGTCCCCCAGGCTGGAATGCAATGGCGCAATTCAGCTCACTGCAACCTCCACCTCCCAGGTTCAACCGATTCTCCTGCCTCAGCCTCCCGAGCAGCTGGGATTACAGGCGCCTGCCACTGCACCCAGCTAATTTTTGTATTTTTAGCAGAGACGGGGTTTGGCCATGTTGGCCAGGCTGGTCTCAAACTCCTGACCTCGTGATCCACCCCCCACCCCTCGGCCTCCCAAAGTGCTAGGATTACAGGCATGAGCCACCACGCCCAGCTGGGGTTAAATTCTTAACAAAATACAAATAAACTGCTTCTCAAAAGTCCAAAGTATCAGGAAATATAAACTACTATGTTTTTTAAAAAAAACAATACTTACGACTACTTCCAAGTTCTTCAAATAGGGACTTCACTTTTTCCCACTCTGTAGAATTTTTGTTATTGGGAACATTCAATGGAACAAAGGCACTACAAAAGAGAAAATAATTGTTTTAATAGCTTTAAAGATAAAAAGTTAAATTAAATGGTTTGAAACTCAAATTATTTTTCTCCAAAACAATAAATAAATAAAATCTGTACTATGCACAGAGGGGAGTGAAAAGTTTCTTATCTATGCATTTACTTCCTTGTAAATTTAATAGTTGTATTACTGCATTCAGAAAAATTAGTTTCCTTTGTAATCCCGTATGTTTTTTGCACTTAAAATACTTTATTATACTTTAATAAAGCTGGTAAAAAACAAAAAATTAATATATAATATTTTGAGAATGGACCACAGGTTTAAAACGATCAAAACAATCCACAAAAAAGGTTAAGGACATCTGTATTAAATCAGTAAAGCAGAATGTAAACATATGCAATTATTTAAGAAACAAAAGAAATACATTAGAATAAACAGTAAATGTCTCACTGTGGAATCGGGAGTGATTATTACTTTCTTATTAGTATTTTTCTATTAATATATCTTTCAAGATTCTATCCAACAGACACAATGAAAGTAGTTTCTATTTGTTTTTCAACCCACAGGTGAAAAGGAACTGTAGAAATAATAGAGACAGCTAGCATCCTAGGACCTGCTCTATGATCTTAGACTGGGAAACGATAGAATAAATAAATGTGCACTTTATTATCTAGCCCATATCAATAACAAGAAGATAATCAAGAGATTAAGGTAAAGAGCTGGGTATCCCTTAGGTTGTATATGTGTAGGAACAAACAGGAGTAGGAAGTAACTCTAATACCACGTCCTTCCCAACCTAATTTTAAGTGTAAGCAAAGTGATAAGATTTATCCTCTGTTGTAAAGAGGAAATGAATTAGTTCAATAATATATTAAGGTACCTGCTCTAATAATGTTTTCATGTAAAACAAAGTAATTACTCTAAAATTTTCTTTTTAATTAAAAAAATCCCTATTTCCTGTTGCTACTGATAACTCTTATTTAAAAAATGACTGGGCACAGCATGTCAGGGGGTTACTTAAATTTCTAACTATCTGCATTGACTTCAGTTTACTATATTCTTCTTAATCCTAGAGACTTATTTCTCACCACTTTTAGAAAAAAAAAAGTGCTTACAGGCATAGAGCAATAAATGTAGAAAGTTTATTATTTGTTGCCCCAGGTATGAAATCAAACAAATGAAAGCAGAGGTGTGGAATCAAGAAATAAAATTATAACATTTTTGTATATTACACATCCATAACAGAAATATAAACTAAGCAAGAAAAAACTACCCATATGATATTCCTTTATTTGGACAGTTTGTTCTGGATATCCCAAAAAGTATGCTCTGAACTTGTTAGCTGGGAATAACCAATCTGTGAGAGTGGGAAAACAAAAATTTCTATGTTGTACAAAATACCACCCATCATACTATTAAAAAAGAAATACGTATTAGGATATCTAAAAATAGCATTCATCTCATAGGGTTTAATACGCAATATTCTAAAACTCAGTATGTCAGTTTTAGGTAATCAAAGATATTGTACAGAAAGAGACTAAAATTAATTAACCCTTGCTCTTGATGACACATGTTCAACTCCTGAGCAGAATTATCTAGCAGTTCAAATAGAGTAATACCAGAGGGAAACTTATATAATCAAAAAAACTAAAAAGACTAAGTTAAGTGACCCACACTACTATCAGAATGACTTCAGGAAAATACTTTGAAAGCATCCATCAGAGAGTTAAACATTTGAGCACATAGTATTTTAGGTATAAACGAAAGCACAAATTCAAAGCAGGTTCTTAAATTACTTTACCATCAGGATTTTATAATCTAAAAATCAGACCTAAAATATTTTCACATAAACTAAGAAAATATCCATAAGTAGAACTCAAAATATGGCAAAGGCACTAATTAATCAACACAGACCCTGGCCTTAATTCTGCAGGACACTGATGAACCAGGCTTTCCTCTTTCAATGGAGCTGAGGTAGGGGAAGAAGATCCAGAGGGCAGAGCAGCACCTGACTGGTATAAAAGCATGTCAACCTTTTAACCACCAGAAGGAATAAACCACTGTTCATTGACCAAATATCAGCCCCATAGACAAAGATCTATAAAGAAAAAGAAATACCTCCCAACAGATGAAAAGGCAACTGAAGTCCAATAAAGTTATAATATAGATATATCAGTTCTGAGGAAAGAAACAGCAGTTAAAATTATCAGGTATACTAAAGCATTTACTAAAGTATCAGGTATACTAAAGTATACTAAATGAAATGGTGATGATATTAAAGTAACCGAGAGTTAGAATACAATGGGATTTGTGTGGTAGAAAGGTGCACATACTTTTAAAATCTCAGCCCTTCTAAAAAAAATGTATACAGAACACCTCAGCTTCCAAAAACACAAAGTACTAGATTAAGCCATTTATGCCTATTGTTCCATTATTGGAATACTAAGCTTGTGAGAGTTATTTATATTTTACTACTCAAGGTCATCATCAAGGTCTGATTTTTCACCAAAAAAATTTGCAACCTCTGGCATAAATGGGTTAAAATACAAACTACAGCCTAGTAAGATTATACTTTTCCCTCATGCCCTTGAAAATAACAAAACTAAAAAACTGCTTAGTAAAAATATTTCCTACCCAATCTGATTCACTGAATTAACTTCACACACATTATCTCTTCAGAAACAGACAAAGGAAAAGCTAATGAATTTCAGTAGATATGAAATGGAAATGATGAATTCAGCATAACTGAAAATAAGATGTTCACTTCTTACACTCCATCACCAAGTCAATTCATATTTATCTTCCAAATAGCTTATGTTTCTTCCTCTCTGTTCTCTTTGTAACCACTGTAGTTCCAATGCTCACCTGAACTTATATAATGGCTACTTAACTGATCTTCCTACCTACTATTTACATACCACTTCTCCAACCCAACACCCAAAATCCTCTTGCAATACATCCTTCACAGTGCTGTAACTCTTTTTTTTTTTTTAAGACGGAATCTCACTCTGTTGCCAGGCTGGAGTGCAGTGGCACAATCTCAGCTCACTGCAACCTCTGCCTCCCGGGTTCAAGCCGTTCTCCTGCCTCAGCCTCCAGAGTAGCTAGGATTACAGGCGCGCACCACTATGCCCAGCTAATTTTTGTATTTTTAGTAGAAGTCACCATGTTGGCCAGCATGGTCTCGATCTCTTGACCTCGTGATCCACCTCCCTCGGCCTCCCAAAGTGCTGGGATTACAGGCGGGAGCCACCATGCCCAGCCCACAGTGCTGTAACTCTTAAAGCAAAGTCATACATATTTATTTTCATGCATTCATTTACACAAATATATACACATCTTCACTGTCTTACAATTACCGGGTAGGACAAAATTAAAAATTTCTTTTTTTTTTTTTTTTGAGACGGAGTCTCGCTCTGTCGCCCAGGTCGGACTGCGGACTGCAGTGGCGCAATCTCGGCTCACTGCAAGCTCCGCTTCCCGGGTTCACGCCATTCTCCTGCCTCAGCCTCCCGAGTAGCTGGGACTACAGGCGCCCGCCACCGTGCCCGGCTAATTTTTTGTATTTTTAGTAGAGACGGGGTTTCACCTTGTTAGCCAGGATGGTCTCGATCTCCTGACCTCATGATCCACCCGCCTCGGCCTCCCAAAGTGCTGGGATTACAGGCGTGAGCCACCGCGCCCGGCCAAAAATTTCTTAAACATGGCATGTAAGACCCAGAGTCTACTTACCTGGCTAATGTCATATCCTGTCACTTGCCCACAGGAACACCTGAAACATCATATTACCCTTCCTTTTTTGAGGGGAGGGGAAATCTAAATTCACATCACACTTTTTATGTCATTCTTCAAACACTCCATGCTAACCTCAGCCTCCCAGTTAATATATTTTATAGACTGAATTGTGTTCCCTAAAAATTCATATGTTGCTGGCTCTCTGCTCCCCCATTCTACAGAAAGCCTCATCTTCTCAGCATCACCAGACACATTACTGAGACATCATGGTGAAAGTGAAGGCCAGACTAAATGGATTTGGCCATAGTGGTGCCTGGTCACCAGAGCTCCTTTTAACTCTGGCAAAGTGAATATTGTTGCCATCACTGACCCTTCAGTGACCTTCACTACACGGCCTAAATGTTCCAGCACGATTCCACCCATGGCAAGTTCTAGGGCACTGTCAAGGCTGAGAACTGGAAACCTGTCATCATTGGAAATCCCATCACCCTCTTACAGTTGCAAGATTTCACCAAAATTAAATGGGGTGATTTGGGCGCTGATTATGTTGTGGAATCTACCAGCATCTTCACTACCATGAAGAAGGCTGAGGTTCACTTAAAGCAGGGAACCAAAAGGATCCTCGTCTCTGCCCATTCTGCTGATACCCCCATGTGATGGGCATGAACCATGAGAAGTACAAAAATGGCATTAAGATGGTCAGCAATGCCTCCTGCACTATCAACTGCTTAGCCACCCTGGACAACTGTGGCATCATGGAGGGACTCATGACCACAGTTCATGCCATCACTGGCACTCAGAAGACCATGGATGGCCCCTCTGGGATACTGTGGTGTGACAGCTGTGGGGCTCTCTAGAACATCATCCCTGCCTCTGTGTTGCCGAAGCTGTGTGCAAGGTCATCCCTGATCTATAGGAAGCTTACTGGCATAACTTTCCATGTTCCCACTGCCAATGTGTTGGTTGTGGACCTGATGTGCCATCTGGAGAAACTTGCCAAATATGATGACATAAAGAAGATGGTAAAACAGGCATTGGAGGGTCCCTTCAAAGGCATTCTGGACTACACTGAGCAACAGGTTGTCTCCTCCAACTTTACTAGTGATACTCATTCCTTCACCTTTGATGCTGGGGCTGGCACTGCCTTCAACAACCACTTTTTCAAACTCATTTTCTGATACGACAATGAATTTGGCTACAGCAACAGGGTGGTGGAACTCATGTTCCACCCGGCTTCCAAGGGGTAAGAGCCCCTGGATCACCAGCCCCAGCAAGAGCACAACAGGGAGAGAGAGGCCCTCAGCTGCTGGGGAGTCCCTGACGCACTCAGTCCCTTACCACACTGAGAATCTCCCCTGGACACAGTTTCTGTGTCAGACCCCCTGAAGAAGGAGGGACCTAGGGAGTACCACCTTTGTCATGTACTATCAATAAAGTCCCCTGTACTCAACTCTCCAAAAAAAAAAAAAAACAAAATCCATATGTTGAAGCCCTAACCCCCAATGTAATGGTATTTGGATATACGTCATTTAGCAAGGGAATTAGTGTTAAATGAAGTCACAAGGGTGGGGCCCTAATCATCCCATGGCATTGGTGAGGAAGAGACACCAGAGAGTGCTCCTTCTCTCTCCTCCACCCTCTCACTCTCCCCCTCCCCTTCTCTCTCTGCAAGCACAAAGGAAAGGCCATGTGAAGACAGAGCAAGAAGGTGGCCTTCTATAAGCCAGGAAGAGAACTCTCACCAGAAACCAAATTTGCCAGCACCTTCAACGTAGACTTCTAACCTCCAGAACCATGAGAAAATAAATGACTGTTATTTAAGCCACCCAGTCTATGATACCTTGTTATGGCAGCCAAAGCAGATGAAAACATTATACATGTTACTCATCTTTTTTATTTGTCAAGTCAGCTGACCAATTCCCATTCCTTCGAATCTCAACTCAAATATTACTTCCTCTTAGATCTCCTGATTCTGCAATGCAGAGTAAGAACCTGCTCCTCTACCATCAACATCTGGTATGTATCTCCTATCAGAGCACTTAAACACTGTAATTAAAGGTATGTATCTGCATGCCTCCACAATGTAAACCTAGAGGACAGAGACCATGGTCCTCTACCTTTAGCCCTAAGATCTAGCACAGTATCCAACACATAAGTGTTTCAAAAACGTATGAGCTACATGAATTAGTTAAATCTAGATCACGGCTTTGCCATAAAATTATCTAGTTTTATTAGCAAAAGCATATCACTTAAAAGAAACTCTGAATATGCCACCTTCAAAAATATTTCAAGACCTTTTGTCAATCAGTTAACCTAAATGCACGCCTCATTCAAATATTTACGTATGATAATGAGAAGAACACTGTCCTAGATGGCTGAAATGCTAATAGTCTTTAATTCACTATTTTCTTATTCTCACTGTTGCAAAGATTTGTAGTTTTATTGATGATTCTCACTCATGTTCTAAAATAGGAGTTGGCAAACTATTGGCTGCCTGTGTTTATAAATAAAGTTTTCCTAGAACACAGTCATGTTCTTTGTTTATGTATTGTCTATGATTACTTCTGAGCTACAAGAGAGACACAAAGACCATACAGACAATAAATCTAAAATACTTACTATCTATGCTTTAAGAAAAGTTTGCTGATTCCCGCTCCAGATAATTCAGGTTTGCATACAAGGGACCTCGATGTTAACAAGGGAAATTAACATAAGTAGATTTGGCTTTCTTTAAAAAGCCAAAAAAATACTTTAGAAATATACTCCAGAGCTAAAATACATAGAAAAACCACTAAAAAAAGTGCTTACAAAAGTACTCTTTTTCATGACACATCAAGGCAGGTAAAAAGAACTGAAAATATGACTTGACTATAAAACACATGCATCCTAAGAACTCCTGGAACTACAAAAAGTTCAAGAATTTTATTCCCATTACTCAACAATTTTATTCCCATTACAAGTTACATGTAATAAGTAATTTTTTTATTTATGGAAAGTTATTTATTGAAAATTGTGAGACTAAATTATAAACAGAAACTTTAAAAAATTTATTAACTCCTAATATATTTCCTAACATAAAAAATGAGACTAATGACCTATTTTTAACAAAGATAAATGTCTTCCATTAACAAGGATAAATTTTAGAAGTACAAACAAATAAGCAAAATCTTACTGATATTAGTATAAAAACAAGAAGAATTAAGAAAGGGAATTCATTGACAAAGATTTAAAAGACTGATAGGGTCAAATCTGAAAAGATGCACAGACAAGAATTTTCATCAAAGTGTTATTTATAATGGGGAAACATTATAAATGTCTAAGCAGTCATCACTAGAAGATCAGTTAAATATATTTTTGTATCCTTAGAAGGAAACGCAATATAGTCAAAATTGATGGAGCTACACTTACTATCCTGCAGAGATGCCCACAATATGTTAACAGGCAGATTACCAAGAATTATATAAAACATAATCACATTTGTGTAAAAAGCATGTAGAATGCATGCAAGAAGGGAGGTGAACTCTGCTTGCATTCAAGCACATAAAAATGTCTAGATGAAACAACATAGACAAAACTGTTAAATTGTGGCTATTGTTCCTTGGAGATTTAGAGAGTGGATTGTTCTTTTTTCTTACATTTTTTTCTTTCCTAGATTTTTCTGAATGATCCTTTTATTTTTTTTTTCAAATAATTCTATTTCCATTTCATGGTTTAAAAAAAAAAAATCAAGACTTACCCAACTAAAAGAAGCAGTGCACAAATCACAACAAATCCCAAAGTATACTTGAGTGCCGTTTTAATTTGCTAGATGCCAAGGAGAAAAAAGTATAACATTTAGCAAGCCCTTTAAAATATAAAATATTCTTGCAACACTTTAACAGTACCTTCACATCAGATACATGCTTACACTCAATATTGAAACTAAGGTTGAAAAACAACCTTAAAATTTAAAGAAAACAGGTATACTACATCTTAAGTATCTTTGCAAAACATGAGATTTTTTAAATCTTTTCAATAGTTAGGCCCTTGTAAAAACCAATCCACCTAAAGCATAGTTAATTCTCCAGTAGGCATCTTTAGTAAAATTATCAGAATATGTAATAAAATATTCCCCCAGACAGCAATCAGAATCTACAATGCCCCAACCCAATTCATCAAAATGGTTTATAACAATAATAAACACAATATATACGTTTGTGTTTGAGTATATACATGAGTATATATTAAATATATTTGTATATATACATACTCATATATACATATATAAGTATATATACACATATACATACTCATATATACATATATAAGTATATATACACATATACATACTCATATATACATATATAAGTATATATACACATATACATACTCATATATACATATATAAGTATATATACACATATACATACTCATATATACATATATAAGTATATATACACATATACATACTCATATATACATATATAAGTATATATACACATATACATACTCATATATACATATATAAGTATATATACACATATACATAAATATATGTGCATATATACTTACATACATTAATATATATCTTATACATATATAACATATATCATGCCAGGCACTGATAAGAACGTCACATATGTTAACTCATTTAATTCTCATAATAACTCTAAGATAGGTTGTTCTCATCTTTAGACATAAGGAAGCTTAAGTCCAGAGAAGTTAATAATCTGTCCTAAGGCACATAGGTCATAAGTGATTAAATAAGTACTTAAGACCAGGAACTTGGGAATTTAAAAACCATGTTTTGCTTGGTGCTTATAATATACTCCAAAGGCTAAGAAAAGCAAATAAAGACAAAGCTGGACATTCTGAATACGAATAAAAAAGTTAATAATAATCTCATTTTAAATCGGTCAGAAATAACATTTGTCCTCTCAGACTAACGAAGTATCTAAAAATCATCTTTTAAAATCTGAATTAATGTTTCACATAGTTCTTATTCACAAAGGGGGTAAGATATTCTTTAGGAAAAAAACTAAAGAAAAGGTAAAGAAGATCCTAAGATCAACCAAAGGGTAGAAGAATGTGCACTTTGGAAGAAGTGAAAGAGAACGCATACATCTCGTGGAGATCTTATCAAATTTGTAACTAGCTACCTTACTTTACATACCTTGGTTTTTCCAAATATAGAGTAAAATAGTATCTGCAAATAACAATTTTGACTCTCTTCATAAATATTTAAATACCTAACTTTTTTTCTAGGAGTCATTTAAAATACTGTTAATTTACTTGCTCCTAATCTTAATGCAAATGCTCTTGAAGTTTTAAGCATGATTAAGCATGATGCTAGCTTTTGACTTAATACATTTATTTCTGTATTTAAATACAAATATAAACAAGGTATAAAACAAAATCCTATAAGTCAAAAAGATAAGACATTTAGTCTTATTGTATAACTGTTCCCCTAAATTACAGTGTTCGATTTTGACATATACCTTTTAACATATATTTTTTTCTTTGACCTATTAATTACTATATATTAATAGATTTCCTGATTTTCAGTCATCCATGCAATTGAGAGACAGGCCCAACTCGGTTATATAATATCAATATATTTCTAAGATGCTCCTGAATTATATTTACTATTATTTTAGTTGTTTATACCAATACTTAAGTGATAATGGTCGGCAGTTCTGAACATGGATGTGTGCTGTATTTGTCAGGTTTTTAAAAAGTCGGTCCTTTTTTTTTTTTTCTGAGATGGAGTCTCGCTCTTGTTGCCCAGGCTGGAGCGCAGTGGAGTGATCTCGGCTCACTGCAACCTCCGCCTCGCGGGTTCAAGCAATTCTCCTGCCTCAGCCTCCGGAGTAGCTGGGATTACAGGCCCTTGCCGCCATGCCCAGCTAATTTTTGTACTTTTAGTAGAGACAAGGTTTCGCCATGTTGGCCAGGCTGGTCTCTTAACTCCTGACCTCAGGTGATCCGCCCGCCTCGGCCTCCCAAAGTGCTGGGATTACAGGCGTGAGCCACAGCGCCTGGCCAAAAAAAAAGTCAGCCTTATCCTGGATTAGTAAGAACAACCTACAAGTGCTCCTTCTTTATGCTTTTGAACAGGGGCCAGCAAACTACATTCAGTGTGCCACATCTGATTCATCTTCTGTTTTACTGGATCATAAAATGTTCGCTGTCTCTGGATACTTTTAACACTATAATGGCAGACTTGAGTGGCTAAGACAGAGACCATATAGCCCACAAATCCTAAATTATTTACTACCTGGCCTTCTACAGAAAAAATTTTGTATGCCTGATCTAGAATTGCTTTGTCTAAAACAATAGTTACAAGCCACATGTGGCTAGAAAGCACTTGAAATGTGGCTAGCTTGATTGTTGTGTAAAAAACAACCCAAATTTCAAAGACTTAGTGTGAAGAAAAGAAACTTAATATTTCATTAATAGTTTGACTATATTTGAAATAATATTTGGAATATATTATGCTAAATACAATGTATAATTAAATTAATTTCAACTGTTTCTTTTTATTTTAATTTAGCTAACATTGTATTTCTATTAGACAACACTGCTCTAGAAAAAATTCAGTCATTCATTCTCTGAAAAAGCAGGTAATATTATTTTTCTTTCCTAAACTAAGGCCTCTAAAATAAAGATACTTACAGTACATTTACTAGTATCATCATCATCCTTTTCTTCATAATAGAAGTAGACAAAAGGGATCCAGAAGAACACACAGAACAATATAACAGAATATAAAGCTGTGGAAATAAATAATAAACCGAGCTTTACTAAATACATATGTACTTAATCATGGTTATCTATCTATATGTATATATATTCACTTAACAAATTCACTCCCCTATCTGATTCCCTCTTCTCATAACTCTTTCTATATAGTACATGATGCCCAAATAGCCTTTTCTGTCCCATGTCCCAAGAAATCAACAGTATTATCAGAATAACAACCCATAATTCAAGTTAACTTTACAGCAATTTCTAACAATAGTAATAACTGGGTCAAGAACAATTGTGGCAGCTGACATATGAGCTCTTACTCTGTACTAACTACAATGCTGAGAACGTCCTATAAACCATCCCATTTAAATGAACTTTAACTTTTGTGTTCATTCCAACTTAAATTTGAGTACACTTGACACAACATTTGCTATTCCAGCAAGTTAAAGAAACAGCTATAAATAATATTCTTTGTGATATAAATAATTTTCTCATCTCAAGTTTAAAAAAATATGCAGTATTATATAACCAATCTTACACAAATCAAAATAGAGAAAAGGTAAAAAGAATAGTAGAACAGTAAAATTAGACTCTCTATTTACCCATCAATGGACCACAGGGGTTGCTTCCAAATTTTGCAATTTGTGAATAATGCAGCTATGAACATGCAAGGACAAATAGCTCTTCATGACCCTGTTTTCAATTCTTAGATTATATTCAAAATTAGATTCAACATTAACTGATAGGAATTACTATTTATCTGCTTTTTTTAAAAAAAATGTTAGATTTGACATACTTTTAACCAGCAGTCAGTCAAAATATTTATCTAAATTCAATATAGAGCTTAAGTTAATCCAAAGATACAGTACCTTTAACAATAAAAACAGAATAAGGAACATTTGAGACTTAAGCCTAAGAAACCTGTTTTAAAATCTGTATATTCACATTCATTTGTTTGTACATATTCATGAAACATAATAGTACCAGTATAATTATATAAAGCAATTACAGAATGATAATCATTGTATTGCTTTATAAAAGAAAGCAGCTGTTACCATCTCAGACCCATTAGGATGGCTACTAACAAAAAACAATAATAATGACAAGTGTTGTCAAGGATGTGGAGGAACTGGAACCCTGTGTGCTGCTGGTGGGAATATAAAATGGTATAGCAGCTGTGGAAAACAGTACGATGTTTCCTAAAAAAATGAAAAATGGCATTACATATGATCCAGCAATTCTACTTCCAGGTGTATGCACACAAGAGTTGAAAACAGACTCTCGAAGAGTTATTTGTACACCCATGTTCCTAACTGCATTGTTCACAGTAACTAAAACATGAAAGCCACCCAAGTGTCCACTGATGGATGGATAGAGAGGCAAAATGTGGTATACAGGAGATCGAGACCATCCTGGCTAACACGGTGAAACCCCGTCTCTACTAAAAATACAAAAAAATTAGCTGGGCGTGGTCGTGGGCACCTGTATTCCCAGCTACTCGGGAGGCTGAGGCAGGAGAATGGCGTGAACCTGGGAGGCAGAGCTTGCAGTGAGCCGAGATCGCGCCACTGCACTCCAGCCTGGGCGAGAGAGAGACTCCGTCTCAAAAAAAAAAAAAAAGTTAGGAAATGATATATGGCTATATGCTACAACACAGATGAACTTAGCATAACCAGGACATTACGCTAAGTGAAATAAGCCAGTCACAAAAAGACAAATACGATATGACTCTACTTATATGAGGTACTGAGAGTAGTCAAAAGCAAGGACACAGAAAGTAGGACGGTGGTTGTCAGAAGGAGAGAGGAAGGGCAGAATAGAGTTACTGTTAATAAGGTATAGTTCAATTTTATAAGATGGAAAGTGTTATGGAGATGAATGGCACCAATGGCTGCATATTATGAATATATTTAATACCACTGAATAGTACACTTGAAATGGTTAAGATGGTAAAAAAAAAATACGGAAAAAATGCATGTTAGTAATGTATAATAAAATCTAAATTACTTATTGTGTTGGAAGAAATGACTTTAAAGAGTTGTCTTAACATTTGCTAGCACTATCTCATTTATCTGGAGGACACTTATGAAACAGCCCTACTACATGCAATACAGATAAAAGAAACTCAAATCAAATAGGACCCTAAATAATCAACAGAGGCGCAGAGTTAATTTATACTTAGCAATCACAAAATGTCTGTCAACATACTGAATTTGGCACTATAGACATTTAATGAAATTTATGCAGGCTTTTAATATTATGAGCAACTAATAGTGACAATAAATCTTTTAGGGCAATGAATATTGGTGTTTCTACTACAAACCAAAGAATAGTGAGTTTTAACATTTCTATTGCAAATCTAACAGCCAACAGACATAAACATTTATCTGCAAGGAACTTAAACAAATTTACAAGAAATAAACAACCCCATCAAAAAGTGGGCAAAGGATATGAACACTTCTCAAAAGAAGACATTTATGCAGCCAACAAACATATGAAAAAAAGCTCATCATCACTGGTCAATAAGAAATGCAAATCAAAACCACAATGAGATACCATCTCACGCCAATTAGAATGGTTATTAAGTCAGGAAACAACAAATGCTGGAGAGGATGTGGAGAAAGAGGAATGCTTTTACACTGTTGATGGGAGTGTAAATTAGTTCAACCATTGTGGAAGACAGTGTGGCGATTCCTCAAGGATTTAGAACCAGAAATACCATTTGACCCAGCAATCCCATTACTGAGTATATACCCAAAGGATCATAAATCATTCTACTATAAAGACACATGCACACATATGTTTACTGCAGCACTCTTTACAATAGCAAAGACTTGGAACTAACCCAAATGCCCATCAATGATAGACTGGATAAAGAAAATGTGGCACATATACACCATGGAATACTATGCAGCCATAAAAAAGAATAAGTTCATGTCCTTTGCAGGGACGTGGATGAAGCTGGAAGCCATCATTCTCAGCAAACTAACACAGGAAACAGAAAACCAAACATCTCATGTTCTCACTCATAAGTGGGAGTTGAACAGTGAGAACACATGGACACAGGGAGGGGAACATCATACACTGGGGCCTGTCAGGGGGTTGGGTCAAGGCCGGGGGAGAGCATTAGGACAAATACCTAATGCATGCAGGTCTTAAAACCTAGATGATGAGTTGACAGGTGCGGCAAACCACCATGGCACACGTATACCTATGTAACAAACCTGTACATTCTGCACATGTATCCCAGAACTTAAAAAAAAAAAAAAAAAAATTGTTAACAGGTATTCCAAAGCTTTAAAAACTTAAATACAAAATGCCATTTGTAAATCACCCTAAATACCATGCCAATATTAGGATTAACATAATCAAATAAAATAATTTGTGTAAACTAGAAAAAAAAGTGAATTAGCACAACAGACTTGAGTAGGCTGACAGCCTCACAACAAAAACTGGTTGATAAACTGATAGGTGGAGTAAGATTTAGCTTCAGCCTGAGTATGCCACTGTGTCTGTTACTTGGTGGGCTTGGCCTTTAGATAGCCAAACAGCCTAATGACTATTTTATAAGCATTTCTGGTGCTCCTAATCTTGTGTGATAAACAATCTTTTGAACACCTAAGTTACCATTATATTTAATTAGCATAGCAAAGTATAAGACAAATTCCTGTACCTCAATAAAAAGACAACTTTTTTAAAAAATGGGTGAAGACTTCAATACTTCACATTAGAAAATATACACAATTTCTGGGCATGGTGGCTCACACCTGTAATCTCCGCACTTTGGGAAGCCGAGGCAGGCAGATCACCTGAGTTCAGGAGTTCCAGGCCAGCCTGGCCAACATAATGAGATCCCGTCTCTACTAAAAATACAAAAAAACTAGCCAGGCATGGTGGCAAGCACCCGTAATCCCAGCTACTCAGGAGGCTGAGGCAGGAGAATTGCTTAAACCCAGGAGGCGGAGGTTGCAGTAAGCCCAATTCGCGCCACTGCACTGCAGCCTGGGCAACAGAACAGGACTCAATCTCAAAAAAAAAAAAAAGAAAAAGAAAATATATACATTGGTCAACAAGTACATTTTAAAAGATGCTCAACACCATAAGTCATCAGGAAAATGCAAAGTAAATCTAAATGGCTAAAATTAAACTGGCAATACCAAGTGTTGGCAAGAATGCAGAAACAACTAACATTATCATACTTTACTTGTAGGAGTGAGGTACAACACTGTAAAAAACTGTTTAGTAGTTTCTTATCAAGTTAAACATATACCTATCATGTGACCCAACAATTTTCTTCCTCTAGCAATAAAGTATAACAACTTATGTAAAAGGACCTCTGCCCAGAGAAGCTTGGTTGATTTGCAGAGTCCAGGGCACTTATTGGAGACTTGCAAAACAAGTGCATTTGCCTAAGTGACCAGCTTTGATTACCAAAACTACAGACTCCAAAAAGGAAAGCAAGAATTCTCCAAAAATCATGTTTTTGCACAATCTAAACTAGCCAGTAGTGCATGGTTCCATATCCAGCTGTACAAAACCACCTTTCAATTAGTAACATAGAGAACACACCAAGGGCTAAGTTCCTAGGAGTTAGTCAAAGGTAAGCCACACAAGCAGGACCTCCCTGAAAACATACAAGCATTCAGCAATATTAGGTCTGCTGCATTAACTCTTTTACAATAATGATGTTGAGAGAAATATTATATGCAGTGATCAAAAACTGGAAATGATCCAAATGATCAACAAGTGGATGGATAAGCAAACTGAGTGATATATTCACATAAAAGACGATCACACAGCAATAAAAAAGAAACATGAGAAACAGATGAATCTCATAGACCTTGTGTTGACTAAAACAAGCCCAGACACAAGACTACCTTTCTATGATTGAACATAAGGAAGTTTGAGAATGGACAACACTAATCTGAGAAGTCAAAAAAAAATGGGGCAGCTATTGACTTAAAAGATGTATGGCAACCAAAATTCCCATGTTGCTGGTAAAAGTGCCCACAAAAGTTTTTAGCAATCAACATCTGGGGAAATGAAGTGGAGAACAGACACAATTCTCAACAGACTATAATATCCCTCTAGTAGTCAATGATTCAAAATAGGTTTAAAACTGCTCTAAATATTTGTTTCCCTGATACAACCTTCTAAGCTATCTTCTAATAATCTGTTCTTTCTCAGTGTCCTTTATAAAGATTTCTTCTTTTAGTCCATAAATGTTGAACTGTAAAGAGAGAATTAAATGAACATTTATTTTATAACATTTATCATATGATCAGTTCTAATGTCAAGTTGAGTTTATATATCTGTAAATGGGGGAAAAAATATTGCTGCCTCCACTATCATGAAACAGGAAAAACTGCTTTTTTAAAAGTTCTACATCAAACTCACAGCCATTTTCAAAGGCAAATTATTCTTGACTCTAAAGTTATGACACTCTCATATCCTAACATCTCTATAAAATATGCTTTTACTTATAAATGTTTTTGTTAAAAGATTGCTACTAGCAAATAAAAGATAAACAGATTTTTGGTTTAGCAGACCCACTAACATCAAAGAACACATTAAGAAAAAATTTTTAAGCCTCATGTCCATAGAAATTGAGCGAAATTAAACTCATGAAACAAGTTGGTTTTTTAAAACAACTTATCGAGAACTAGCAAAAAACAAGTGAATAGAGAGCCACTTAAAGGTCATGGACAAAAACTGTACCAAAGAATACATAGTAATTCCTAAGATGTTTAAACATATACGAAGCAACAATCTACCTTTTAAAAGCCACGTATCATTAAATTATAACTCACATGAAAATTAACTTGGATACATTAGACTTTTAAATTGTTAAAAATTTTTTAAACATATCCTTCCCAACTACCAATGAAAATAGCTAACATTTACATCAAAACACAATGACAAAGAAAAGCAGTCAATATTGTGACAGAATAATTAGTCATTACAAAGCTTTTTGTTTTAGAGGTCAAAGTATAAAGATATTCTGGGAATTCTAAAAGCCTTCTAAAATTATCTATTTACCCAGCTGAAAAACTCCTGAGTCGAGACTGATAGTTGCATATCTATACCCATTTCCTTTCAGCTGGCACTCCCTTTCTTGACCTTCCCCCTTCCTACTGCAGCCTACTTGAAACTGATACATGATGGCTTAAACTCTAGCACCATTTTAAAATCTGTGGTGACCTTAAGATGGAAATCATGTCCTAAGGATGGAGAGTAGAGAAGGAATGAACTTAGTACTCTCATGATGTTATGGCACTGCCATACCAGCCCTGGATAGCCTATCTCCATACTTACTTTAAGTGAGACTGAAACACTATATGACTATTTAAACCAGGAACTTCTGAACTGCTAATAGCAGCCACACACAATTCCTGAAACAGAATTTGGTACTAGAAATGGGCAAATTCAAATATTTATTCCTGAGCTATTCCAAGCCCTTGGTCATCTTGTCTGTGAAGGGTAGGCATAATAGATCTCAACTAACTTTTGCCACTGAACATGATAATATCATGAGGTGCCACAGAAAATCCCATGGGTTCAAGATATACTTCTCCTTGCATTAACTGTGTAGCAGCAACCCTACTTCCCCTAATAGGGTCAATCACTCCATCTGATATGGTAACTATTCACTGGAATTAGATCAAAGTGGCCTGGTAGAAATCATACCTTCTAATGGAAGGGAACCATTATTTCATCCTACAGTGGAAGTACTCCCAGATGTCTAGTAAGAATTATAAACCAGTAAGCAAGGTAAGAAGCAAAAGTTTTGTGAGTAACAAACCACTCAAAATTACTAATAAATGAACTACTCAATACTGAATTAGGAATAATAGTGTAAACTTCTATGCTCACTTCTACTTCTTAGTTACTGGTAACAAGTATATATTTTATAGGAGGAAGAGAAACATAAGTGCTCACTGGTCCCTGGCATTCTCTAAAATGTAGACAGACTTTTCAACTCATTTTACAAGGCTAGCAGTCTTAATACTCACACCTGACAAGAATAATAAGACAAAGAAAAATTACAGACCAGTCTCACCTGCAAATTGATTCTTTAAAAGAATCCCAATTAAGAGAGCAGCAAATCAAATCCAAAAATACATTTAAAAAACAAACCAAAAAAAAACCACCAAGATGGCCAATTTAGGTTTATGCTAGGAATGCAAAATTAGTTTAAGTATAATCTAGCCATGTAATACCTGATATACCACTTGAAAGAATAAACCAAAACAAACAAAAAAGCTTTATATGATATCTTATAGATACTTCTGTATCTTAATAGATACAGAAAAGGTCCCTTTTAAATGTATTCATTTAACAAATACCTACTGAGTATGTTTCAACCATCATTCTAGGGAGCAGTATACAGCTAAATCAAAACACAGAAGCCTCTCATGAGACTTAATTCTAGTGAGGAAAAGACACAATATTTAAAATCGTAGTATGTACTACTCAAATTATCTTTAAAAAATTTCTTAAATCAATAAGAACACAACCCAACTGAAAGTTACTTGAAGCAGAAAACTGAAAAAGCCAACAAATTTTTTAAAAACATACAATTTCATTTACAAATAAGTGAAACATAGACTAGTGAACTCTCATTTCACACTCACCAGACTAGCAAAAACTAAACATGTATGACAATATCAAAGTTTAGAATATAGAGCAACTAGAAGGCTTATGTTCTTCTAATAAGAATTACATTAGTACAAACACTTAGCAAAATAGCTTGTCATTATCTACCATACTGAAGATGCATATAACTTATGATCTATCCGTTTGACTCCTATGTATGTACTCTGCACATATACAACAGAAAACATGTGCAAGAATGTTCATTGCACAATTTTAACATCAAAAAACTAAATGTCCACACTGATTAATATGTGGCATAGTCATACACAATGAAATTATACTTTCTTCAATAATCTGTATAAATGTCTAGAACATGAAGATGAATGAAAGCAAGCAAGCCATTTCATATAAAGTTCAGAAATGTAAAACTAAGTAAGAATATAACATGATAAAACTGAAAGGCAAAGCAAGGGATTAACACAAACTAAATTTAGAGTATTTCTAAGGGAGAAATAGAAGAAATGGCATCAGGAAAAACACAGGAGACTTCAAAATGACCACCTCAAACTTCACACTTAATATGATCAATAAATAGTCTGCTAAGCATAAAAGCATATGTCAAGTAAACATCAAAGATGTTGATATTTGCAAGACTGCTGTGGTAGGCAGCTTCTAAAGTGGCTCCTGATAACCCTGCTTCTGTATTCACGACCTGTGTAATCTCAGCTTGAGTGTGGGCTGGCACTAGTGACTTACTGCTAAGGAACAGAATATGAACAAAAATATTGGGATGTCATTTCTGAGATTACGTGACAAAAAGACTGGCTTCCATCTTATTGCTGTATCCTTCTCTCACTCTGAGACGCCCTGGCTGCCATGTTGTGAGCTGCCCTATAGAAAAGTCCACGTAACAAAGAACTGATGTTACAGGCCAAGAGAGAGATAAAACCCGAGGCCTGTCTCAACCCATGTGAGAGAGCTTACATGTCAACTCTCTCCCTTGCGGAATCTTGGAATGACTACAGTCCCACCAGACATCTTCCTTGTAGCCCAACAAGAGAACCTGACCGAGCACACCCAACTAAGGTGCATCTGGATTCCTCACCCAAAGAAACTGTGAAATAAGGTTTGCTGTTTTAAACTGCTAAATGTTGAGGTAATTTGTTACATGACAGTAGATAACTAGTACAACTGCTGACAGTATAGCAAAGTGAGTCAGATGTGCTGTGTAAGTTCTAAGAATATACAACTTGAGAATAAAAATCATTTACAGGGTTGAACTTAGACTTTGTATTCTGAAGAACAGTTGTTTTCCCCATGGATATTTTTGGTTATTTCCCCTTCTCAATGGTATTTATTCCAAGGTTTACACTGCAATGCCATTTTTTTAACAAAAAAAAAATTGTTAAATAAAATGGTCAGACAAAAGGCTAAATAATTCATGCTATAATTCACAATTGTATAGCAACAAAGAATCACATTCCAATGTATAAGCCTTAGTCCTTCATAACTTTTTAACCTCATTTTTTTAATCTATGAATTAGGGATAAGATTACAACTCTAGAAAATCAAATAATAAAAGTGCAAATCCTCTAAGATTTTAAGTTATATTAATAGCAACTATCCTTTACTGACTCTCCATAATATACACAGAACTGTATTATAATCTTCACTTACATTAGCTGATTCGATACTTTTCCCAACAACTTTGATACACAATTTACATATCCTGAAATTCACAAATTATAACTGTGTAATTCAATAATGTTTGGTAAATTTATAAAGTTCTATAGCCATCACTACAATCCAGTTTTAGAACATTTCCATTACTCCAAAAAAAGTTGTTTTGTGCCAGTTCACAAATAATCCCCAATCCCCTAGCTTGAGGTAACCACTGATCTGCTGTCTTTAGAGATTTGCCTTTTCTGGTCATTTTATATGCATAGAATTATATAAGATACAGTCTTCTGCATCTGGCTTCCTTCACTTAGCACAGGGGTTGGGATTTTTTCTCTGTTAACACATAATAAATATTTTCACGTTTGCAGTTTATACATCTCTGTTGCAAATACTCATCTGTGCTGCTGTAGCAAAGCAGTCATAGACAACACATAAACAAATAGACACAGCCAGGTTTACACAAGCCATGCCATAATTTGCCAACTTGTAACTCAGATTGCTGAATATATTAATATAGTCCATTGTATGCGCATACTGCATTTTATTTAAACATTCACCAGTTGTTGGACATTTGAATACTTTCCAGTTTGGGACTACTATAAAAACTGCTACTATGAACATCTTTGCCTAGATATTGCATTCATTCCTGTTGGGTAAATTCCTAGGAGTGGAACTGCTGGACCATATAGGAAATTTAACTTTTTAAAGAAGTTACAAATGGCTGGGTGTGGTGGCTCATGCCTGTAATCACAGCCCTTTGTGTGGCCGAGACAAGAGGATAACTTGAAGCCAGGAGTTCAAGACCAGCCTGGACAACACAGTAGAGACCCTGTCTCTACCAAAAAACAAAAAAAAAAAAAGGAAGTTACAAACTGTTTTTCCAAAACAACTACACCATATTACATTCCCAATAGCAGCATTCAAAGATTCTAGTTTCTCTATATACATGGCAGCACCTGGGTATTGTCTGTGTTTCTTATTACAGCCTGTTACAGACTGAATGTTGGTGTCCCCGTAAAATCCATGTGTTGAAACCCTAACTCCCAATGTGATAGTATTTGGAGGTGGGGTCTTTGGGGGGTAATTAGGATTAAATGAAGCCACAAGGTAGGATCCCATCATGGGACTGGTGTCCTTAGAAGAAGAGGAAGAGAGACCAGAGTTCAATCTCTGTCTCTGCCATGCAAGGACGCAGCAAGAAGGTGGCCATCTACAAGCAAGGAAAAGGGTCTCCGCCAGGACTGAAGTTGTTGAGACCTTCAACTTGGACTTCCTAGCTTCCAGAATTGTGAGAAATAAATGTTTATTGATTAGGTCACCCAGTATGTGGTATTTTGTTAGAGAAGCCCAAACTGACTATAAGACAGATTTTGGTACTGAGAAGTGGGCTGCTGTCCTAACACATATCTAAAAATATGGAGGTCGCTTTGGAACATGCCACTGGACAATTTTTTTTTTAAGTAATGTTATAAAATAGCAAAGAACTTGGGAACTGTGTTCTAGTGTTTTGTGGAAGGCAAAGTTTGCCAGTGATGAAACTGAATATTTAGCTAAGGAGATTCCTAAGCAAAGTGTTGAAGAAGTGGCTTGATTCCTCCTGACTGCTTAGAATAAAAAGAAAAAAGAAAAAAAAAAAAGGAATTGTTAAGCAAAATGAGCCAGAACTTGAAGATCTGGAAAATTCTCAGCCTATCCACATTGCAAAAAAAAATGGAAAAGCTTGTTTTGAAGAGAACACTAAGGGTGTATTTGATAATTAGATTAGTGAAGATATGAACCAAGAAGAACCTAATCAGCCATCCCAGCAGAAACACTGCCAGTTTGAACTGAAGGGGAGGAAGATGGGATGAAATGAAGGAAGGTTGATAGGCTTCTTGGATCCTACAGGACCAGATCACAAACTTGTTTGGCTATGAAAATGTACTACTCTACAAGACATAAAAAGAATGTCCCCAAAGGTGATTAAGAGATCAAGGCTGCATCCTCATTTCAAAGGGGGTGGGAGGGGATTGTCTAGGTTTCAACATGTCAGAGAATAGCTGCCTTGAAGCCTTGTGGGTACAACTCCTACCCATCAGAGCCTTGAGGTTTAACACTGCCCCGCAGAATGGTAGAGGCAGGACCATCACCACAGTGGGTCCTGAAGGCATAGGGTCAAACCAAAGAAGACTGTTTTTGAGCTATCTTATAATTCTAATAGTATCTGCATTGCTAGGTTTTTTACTTTATTGAAACGCTTTTTTCCTTCTGAATTTTCCCTTAGAATGTCTATCCTATACCTGTACTGCCATTATATTTTAAAAGCAAATAACTTATCTGGTTTTAGAGGTTCACAGTCAGAGAAGAATTATGACTCAGGATAAATTTTACTTGTGGTCACACACATATCTGATTTAGAAAATATTTAGACGAGACTTTGTACTTTAGAGTTGATGCTGCAACAAACTTAACACTCTTGGGGCTGTTAGGATGGAATAAACGTATTTTGCATAGGAAATGGACATGGATTCTGGGCTGCCAGGAGTGGAATGTTATGCAGTAAGTTTGTCCCCCCAGAATTCATATGTTGAAGCCCTAACGCCAATGTGATAGTACTTGGAGATGAGGCCTTTGGGAGGTAATTAGGTTCAGATGAGGGCATGATGTTAGGGCCCCTGTGATGGCATTAGTGTCCTTATAAGAAGAGAAAGAGACCAGAGTACATGCGCTAGATCGTTACCTCACTCTCTCTCTCTCTCTCTCTCTATGCCATGTGAGGACACTGCGAGAAGGCAGCTAGCTATCTATAAGCATGGAAGAAGGCCTTCATTACAAACCAAATCTGCTGGCTCCAGAACTATGAGAAATACATGTTCGTTAAGACTCCCACTCTATATTTTGTTATAGCAGCCTTAACTAATAAGACAGCATTCTAGTTGATGTGCTGGTATATCTCATTGAAAACGTAATTTACATTTCCCTAATCATTAATGATGTTGAAGATCTTTCTATGGGTTTTTAAGCCATTCATAAATCTTCCCTGATTAAATGCCTGTTCAAATTTTTGCTTATTTTTTAATTGAATGGTTTTATTAATGATTGGTAAGATACATTTTGAATATAAGCCCTTTATGATTTATACATGATTTACAAATATGTTTGGCTTGTCTGTGGTTTATAATTATTTTTGTTTTAATTGTGTCTTTTGAAAGACAAAGATTTAATATTGATGAAGTATAACTTATTAAGGTTTCTCCTATGAATCATGCTTTTGGTGCCATATCTAAGAACTCTTTTTCTAACTTAAGGTCACCAAGATTGTATTCCTTAATTTCTTTTCTTTTTTTTTTTTTTAATTTGAGATGGAGTCTTGCTGTGTGACCCAGGCTGGAGTGCAGTGGTGAGATCTTGGCTTACTGCAACCTCTGCCTCCTGGGTTCAAGAGATTCTCCTGCCTCAGCCTCCCCACATAGCTGAGATTACAGGAGCCTGCCACCACGCCCAGCTAATTTTTGTATTTTTAGTAGAGACAGGGTTTCACCATGTTGGCCAGGCTGGTCTTGAACTCCTGACCTCAAGTGATCTGCCAGCCAGGGCCTCCCCAAGTGCTGGGATTACAGGAGTGAGCCATTGTGCCCCCCTCCCTTAATTTCTTCTAAAAGTATTATACTTTTACAGCTTAGGTCTATGATTGATTTTTGAGTATGGTGTAAGGTAAGGCTCAAAAAAAATCATTTTTTGCATATAATAGTCCAACTTTCCCAGCAAAAATTTTTTTAATTGAATGGAATTAAACTGAATTGGCACAGCTGTTGAAAATCAATTGACCATGAATATAAAGGTTTATTTTTGGACTCTGAATTTTATTCCATTGCTCTATATGTCTGACCATCTGCAATACTATATAGTCTTGTTTACTGAGTTTTATATTATGTTTTGAGATCTGAGGATGTAATTCTCTGATGTCATTTTTCTTTTCCAAAATGTTTTTTGGCTACTGTAAATCCTGTTGACTTCCACGTAAATTTTAGGATTGGCTTGTCAGTTTTTCAAAAATATTTTTAAAAGTCTGTGTGACTTTAATAGAGGCTGCATTCAACTTATAGGTCAGTTTGAGAGAAAACTGACATAATTGCATCTTTACAGCATTGTGTTTTCAACCCCATAATATGGAATTGTTTATTTAAATCTTCTTTAGTTTCTATCAGCAATTTTTCTGTAGTTTTCAGTGTAGAAATCTTATGCTTTTTTGTTAAATGTGAAGTACTTTTTTCACCCTTTTTGATGGTTTCTGATTGGAATTGCTTTTCTCAGTTCATCTGAATTGTCTGTTTCTAGTTTTCATATCAATCTTATACTTGTGATTCTGCTAACATTACTCACTGGTTGTATTTGTCCATATATAGGTTCCCTGAAATTTTCTACCTATAGAATCTTATATCACCTGTGAAAGTAAGACAGTAATAATTCTTCTTTTCCAGTTTGGATGTATTTACTTAAGTAAATATTTAAATAACTAAATAATAAAAATTAATATTTAAGTAAATTTATTCATTTAATTATTTATTTATTTATTTAGACTTATCACACTGGCTAGAATCACTAGTACAATGTTAAATAGCAGTGTTGAGAGCAGACATAGTTATCTTGCTCCTAATCTCAGAAGAAAAGTATTCAGTCTTTCACCACTAAGTATAATGTAGCTGTAGGCTTTTCATAGATGTCCTTTGTCAGCTTGGGAAGTTCTCCTCTGTAACTATTTTGCTGATAATTTTTAATCAATGATCGATACTGGAATTTTTTTTGCATCTATTGAGATGATCATTCATTTCTGTCCTATGTATGCTAACATGTATGTTAAGTAAAGTAATTTCTGGATATTAAAGCAACCTTACATTTCTGGGATGAATTCACTTTTGTCATACTATGTAATTCTTTTTATATGACACTGGATTCAGTTTCCTAAAATTTTAAGAATTCTGTGTCTACATTCATGAGGGATATTAGTCCACAGTTTCCCTTTCTTGTGATGTCTTAATATGATTTTGGTATGAAGGAAATAATGGCCTCAAGTGAGTTGGGAAGTGTTCCTTCATCCTCTATTTCCTAAAAAGGTTGATAAAGGATTGGTATAATTTCTATTTATAATACATAAATAGAAATTGGTATAATTTCTTATTTAAATATATAATTGGTATAATTATTTAAATACATAATATGTGAAATTCTTCACATATTTCTTGTGTGAAGAAATCTAGGTATGGGGTTCTCTTTGTGGGAATATTTTAAATAAATAATTCAACTTCTATGCTTGCTACAGTGCTATTTCTTCTTAAATCAGTTATGGTAATTGATTCAATTGGAAAATTGTCTAGGAATTTATCCACTTCATCTAATTTATTGGTATAAAGTTACTCAACATTCCTTTGTAATTCTTTTAATTTCTGCAAAGTTGGTAATGCCACTTCTTTCATTCCTTATTTTGATAATTTATATCCTTTTTCTCTCTCTCCCTCTTTCCCAATGCCCTAAGTCTGGCTAAAGATTTGCTGATTTCTTTTTTTTCAAAGAACCTACTTTGGTTTGAATTTTCTTTATTGTTTTTCTGTTTTCTATTTCATTGATGTCTGCTCTAACCTTTATTTTTCTTCTGCTTGTTTAAAGTTCAGTTTGCTCTTCTTTTTCTGTTTTCCTAAGGTAGAAGTTTAGGTAGTTGAGAATTCTTTTTTAAAAGAGGGATTTAAAGCTGCAAATTATCCTCTGAGCTCTGCTTGAGCTATATCCCGTAAATTTTGATATGTTACATTTTTATTTTCATTCTGTTCAAAATATTCTCCAATCTACCTTGTGATTTCATCTTGATCCATGGGTTATTTAGAAGTATGTGGTTTAAATGCCAAATACTTGTGGATTGCCAAGATTTTTTTCCATTGCTGGTTTCTAATTTAATTACATTATGATTGGAAAATGCACTTTGTATGATTTTTAATCCTTTTAAATTTACTGATAATTATTTTATAACCTATCATATAGTCTATACTGAAGAATGTTCTCCATGTGCTTTAAGTCAATTGTGTTCTGCATCCATTGGGATACAATTTTCTACATTTTTAAGTTCATCAGTATTGTTGTTTACATCTTCTCAACCTTCACTGATTTTCTAACTGTTCTATCAGAAAACAATTATTTCCTAACCAGTAAAGAGTTGGTTACTCAAATTTGCAACTAATATTGGTGAATTATCTATTTTGCCTATCAATTCTGCCCATTTTGAATTTGTGTATTTTAAAGCTCTGTTAATAGGTGCATACAGAATTATAATTTTTCTGTCATTTTAATGATTAACCATTTTATCATTATGAAATGTCCGTTGTCTTAAAGTCTATTTTATTTGATATTAATATAGTCATTTCAGCTGTCAGAATTACTATTTGCATGACATCTTTTACTAACCTTTTCTTTAACCATATACTATTTGTGTCCCTGAATCTAAGGTGTTTCTCTTATAGACAACACGTTGACGAATCTTCATTTGTTGATCCACTATGACAATCTCATTTGATTGGGGGTATTTAGACTACTTACACATAATATAACAATTATTGATATGGCTGTAATTACATTTGCCATTTTATACTTTATTATGTCTTTTTTGTTGTTCCAGGCTTCTCCTTTACTACCTTATTTTGTATTAAAAGTTAGTTTCTACATTACCAATTCCTGACTTATTTTATAGATATTTATAGATACATAAAATAAGTATATTTTTGAGTCATTTTCTTAGTGGTTGCTATAGGAATTATACTACATACCTTAATTTATCACAATTTACCTTCAATTAATATTCACACAATACAGGCAAAATATATATTTTTTAAAAACTTGCTCCAAAATAGCTCTAATACTTCTTTTTCTTTGTGCCATTCCCATCATATATTTTATGTCTATATATTATAAACCCTAAACCCAACATTTACAGTGTTATAATTATTACTTTATACAATCTTAAATCTTTTACAAAGATAAGAAAAGGAGAAAAAATATAGTGCCTTTATATTAAACATTAACCATTATAATTTCTGATTTCTTTCTTCCTATGAATTTGGTTTACTGCCTAGTGTCATTTCCTTTTATCCTTAAAGACTTCCTTTAGCATTCTTGTAAGAAAGGGATTCTTGCAATGAATTTTCTCAGGTTTTATCTTGGAATGTCCTATTCCACCTTCATTTTTAGTGGATTTTAGAGGACACAGAAATCTTTATTTTTTTTTTCTTTTCATTTTAGTGCCCTCTGGTGTCCACTATTTCACATTAGAAGTTAGTCACTAATCATAAAGATGCTGTTATGTAATTTTTTGGCTGCTTTTAAATTTTTGTCTTTGGCTTTGGCTTTTAATAATTTAACAATGATTTGTCCAGGTCTGTATCTCTGCTTTTCCTACTTGGGCTTCACTGAGCTTCTTAGATGGGTAGATTGCTTTTTGGCCATAATTTCTTCAAACTTTTTTTCCTGCCCTCTTCTTTCTCTTTTCATTCTGAGATTCCCATCACACATACATAGGTAAACTTGATGCTGACCCACAGATCTCTGTGGCTCTACTGATTTCTCTTTAATCTTTCCTCTCTGATCTTCAGATTAGATCATCTACCTTTGAAATTCACTGCTTCTTTCTTCTGTCATGTCAAACCTCTGGTAAGACCCTCTAGTAAATTTTTCACATCAGTTACTATATTCTTCAATCTCAGAATTTTCATTTTGTTATTTTTAAAATCATTTCTATCTCCTTTTTGAACATCTCTATTTGTCACACTTTATTTTCATTCTTAGCTTACTTTGCTGCTTTAAACTGATTTACAATAGCTGCTTTGAAGTCTTTGTCTGCTAAATCTAACATCTAGAAATACTGTTTCCACTATATGCTGTTTTCCTTAGCATTGTTCATGTTTTCCTATTTCTTTGCATATTTTATAATTTTATTGAAACTGGACATGTTAGACAATATGTTGTAGCAACTCTGTATTACGCTTTTTGCTCCTGAAGGTTGCCTCTTTAATTCCTTTGTTCACTTATTTGGCAGGGTTAAGTCTATAAAATCTGTTTTCCACAAGTGTGCAACTGCTGATGTGTCTATTTTTTTTAACGATTTTTTTAGTGTTTTTTTTTTTTAATTTTTATCCCAGCTCAAAAAAATATATATTTATTTAAATTACTGTTTTTAAGCCTGGCTTCCTAGGGATTGCTCCTGTGTCTATATAGCTTAATAATCAGACAATAACCAGAAATAAACTTTGCTCAAACAACTCAAGCCAATAAGACTTCCAGCCCTTCCTTGCCAATGAACCTGCATATTGGTAGGAGAGTGTATTAAAAGTTCAGGCCAATTGCCCCTGGCTTTTCCTTTCTGGTCTCCTACACACGTGTAGAGCCTCTAGGGCAGCCAGGAGTACATGACTAGGTTGGGCCCTCTCCAGTCTCCAATACACATGTATGCAGCTTCAGCCAGACATATGCTTGTCCCAATTATGACCACAATCCCATGCTAGTAGAATCCTGGGTCCTCTCCGCTCACCTGACTCCAAGATTGTCACTTCCATAAACAATAGCACTAGAAGTGAGCACCACCCAACTGAGTGAGTCCCCTTCTGATACAGCAGTACAGCTGTAGGTCCTCCCTGGACCCACCCTGCCCTGGCAGATCTTCTGCAATAACCAAGCTGGAAGTTGGGGGTAGGGAAACATAACAGCCCTAGGCTAAAATACAAGAAACTACCACTGTCCCTTAGCAGTTTTTAAGTATAAACACTTCTCAGACTGTTGTATGTCTTTCATTGATTGCTAAAGAACTGAAGCTGTTGTTTTCTGTTCAGTTTTGTCCAACTTCATATTTGTTTTCTGGTGAGAGAATCTGCCAATTTTCAAACTTGGCCATGGCTGAAATCCCACCCCACTCACTCAATCTTAACAACACGGAAGTACACATTATTCTCTCTCATTAACAAAGTAAGAAATTCAAGTGAGTTTCCCTAAATTACATAGAAAATAAAAAATTCATGAATTTCACAAATATTTGAGTACCTACTATGTGCCAATATCTGTTCTTTGTGCTTAAAACACATCAAGGACCAAAAGAGATAAAGATTCCTGCCCTAGCACAGTATAAATTCTAGCAGGAGGATACAAACAATAAACATAACTAAAACTATATAATGCATCAGAATGTAATTAAAGGCTGTAAAGAAAAAAAATAGACTAGGATAAAATGAGCCAGAGATTGAAGGTAGGCCTCATTCACAGGTAACATGTAAGCAAAGATTTAAAGGCTAAAGGAGTTAAATTAGTCAAGTAAATAACTGGAAGAAAAGCATTCTAAGCAAAGGGAACATAAAGCAAAGGGTCTAAGGTAGGAGTGAAACTGAAATGTTCAAGGAACATTAATAACAACATTAATATAACAGTGATGGAGAGATGTACTAGTTATCTACTACCATGTAAGAGGCTACTCAAAACTTAGTGGTTTAAAAAAACATTTACTGACAGATTCTATGAGTCAAGAATATGAGCACAGTTTAGCTGGGTCCCCAAGCTCAGAATTTCTCCCAAGGCTGCAATCAAGATGTTAGCCAATGCAGCAGTTATCCCAAGGCTTGACTGGGGAAGAACCTGCTTCCAGGTTCACTCACTGCGTTTTTGGCAGGATTCAGTTCCTCACTAGCTGTTGGCTGGAGGCCGCTATCAGTTCCTTGCTATGTGGGCCTCTCCATAAGGCAGTACACAAACTGGCAGCTTGGTTAATATGAGCAAGCAAGAGAAAAAGCCAAGGAGTATGAGCAAGACAAAGTCACTGTCTTCTACCTAATCTCAGAAGTGACATCCCATCAGCATCATTTTAGCCACATTCTCTTTGGCAGACGCAAATCTCTAGGTCCAGCACACACTCAAAAGGAGGGAATTACATAAGGGCATGAATATTAGGAGGTGGACAGCACTGTGGGCCATCATGAGAGTTTGCCTAGCACAGCAAAATAGTAGATGAGAACAAAGAAGTTTGTGGGGTGGGGAAGAATGTCAGATCACATAAGGCCCTGCAGGCTTCAGTAATGACTTCGTCATTTCCTCTGAATTACATGGGAAGCTACTTCAGGGTTTTGAGCAGATAAGGAAAAGACGTATCATATTTTTAAAGAATCACTCTGACTGCTATATTGTCAGTAAAACAAGGGTGGAAAAGACAGACTTCTGTGATAACCCCAAAAGAGACAATGGTGTCTTAGACAGGATTATAGCTAGAAAAAAAAAAGGTAGTGAGAAGTGGTCAGATTCTAGATAAATTTTGAAAATCAAGCACAAGGGAATTTTCTGCCATATTTGACTCAAAATGTGAAAAAGTAAAGATTCAAGGATGACTCTAAGGTTTTCAGCCTGAGAAACTCTATCCTTCTTGTTGCTATCCACAAGAAAAAAAACCTACTGTATGACAGATTAAAGGTCAGTTGCTTTAGAAATGTTAAATTTGAGATGTCTTTGATTTTTTGGTAGAGTTCTGTAACGGTTGGACATAGGATTGTGAAGTTCCAGAGAGGTCTGCACAAAGATTCGAAACTGGGAATTGGGCATATAGGTGATATTTAGAAGGAAGCAATGGTATAAAATCACCAAAGGATTAACTGAAACAGAACAGGTTCAAGGATTAACCCGTGGGACATACAAATATTTTAAAAGGTCAGAAGAAAGAGAACGAACCAACAAAGGAAACTCAAAAGGCACAACCAAGAACATAAGAAGAAAAAACAAGAACATATGTCTCAATCTCCAAAATCTGGAGTGTGAAGGAAGGTTTATGATATTAATGTGACAAATCATCAGTTCATTTAGAGACAAAAAGTACAAGTCACACTAGTTATAAGTCCAAGAGATCACTTGCTTTCTTAGTATTTCCAACTGGAAACAAATTCTTACGCTACTAGGTCTCTAGAGATTATCTAGATAATCTCTTGAGCAAACTTAACAGAAACCACTTAGAAAACATCCCCTTTAATTAAGAATACTTTCTTTTAAAAAGGGGGAAAAGGGGCAGGAGACAGGACAGAACTGTATCTTATCAAACAAGATTTTGTAAAAAGGATTTTGAATCAAACAAATCTAAAAATTAGTCTCAGTCTTTCTATCTTGTCTGGAAAAGCACTGAAATATATTATTAGAGATGTTTTCAAAACAATAGTGTCAAGAAAATTGAAATTTGATGAGATACTAGTCAGTTCTTTCAATATTAACTTTCCTATATCATTGCACTAACAGAGAAAATTTCTCTTGTTCTCTTATCTGATTTGAATAAACAGCAGTAAATAACACCTATTTAGCACTAATCACATGTCTCACACTCCTAACCTTACGAAGTAGGTACTACTTTATCACCATTTCACAGGTGGAGAAATCACAAAGAAGTCAACTTCAAAGGTCTCATGTACTCTTCTCAAGTTAGATTCTAGGAGTTGTAAACCCTACTATGATTTGAATGTGTCCCTCAAAGTTCATGATCACTACCCAATATGGTAGTTTTGGGAGGTAGGGCCTAATGGGAGGTATTTGGGTAGCAAGGGTGACTGCTCATGTGTGGATTAATGTCACTATCATCTGAGTGGGTTCATTATAAAAGGATGTGTGTGCCTCCATTGCCCTTCTGCCATGGGATGACAGCAGGAAGGCCCTTACCAAATGCCAGTTCCTTCATCTTGAACTTCCCAGCCTCCAGAACTATGAGCCAATAAATTTCTGTTCCTTACAAATTACCAAGTTTTGAGTATTCTACTTTAACAGCACAAAACACACTAAGATAAACCTAAGTTCAAAATACATAAAAAAGTTTCCAGATACAAATTATCAGCACCTAATCAATAGGGAATGAAGAGAAACTTCCAAAAAACTCTCTTAGGTGCTCTAAAAGTATGGCATAGAAACTGGAACTGAAAAGCTTCCCGGTCCATCTTATTCTCCCTTAGTTCCATAACTTAATTCATCTAAATATGTGTATACTTTGACTCACTCCTATTTTTACTACAAAATTGTTTTAACAGCAAAAAAAAATTTTATTAAACACCTAATAAACTGGGATTTTTCTATGAACATCCATACAATGGAAAACAATGCAGTAAAAATCTTTTAAATGTACATATATAATATCTTCTTAACAGCTGCATTTGAAAAGACCAAATATTGTCAACAACCCCATTTTTCATCAACACTAGCATGGATAAACTACGGTATGTTAATATAGTAATAAGAATCAACAGAGTACTGTTGCCTGCATCAATATAGATGTTTCAAATATAATGTTACACACTGAAGAAGCCAAACACAAAACATTATGAACTATATGATTCAATTTACATCTACACACAAGATGATAGCCTGAAAACTAGTGTCAAGAGAAGAAAGTCTATGTGGATGATATGGTTTGGCTCTGCGTCCCCACTTAAATCTCATCTTGAATTGTAATAATCCCCATGTGTCATGGGAGGGACCCAGTGGAAAGTAATGGAATCATGGGGACGGGTATTTCCCATGCTGTTCTCATGACAGTGATTAAGTCTCACGAGATCTGATGGTTTTACATAAAGGGGAGTTCCCCTGCACATGCTCTTGCCTGCCACCATGTTAGATGTGACTTTGCTCCTCCTCGCCTTCCACCATGATTATGAAGCCTCCCCAGCCATGTGGAACTGTGAGCCCATTAAACCTCTTTTTCTTTATAAATTACCCAGTCTTGGGTATGTCTTTATCAGCAGTGGGAGAACAGGCTAATAACATGAGGAATTGATAGGCCAGTTACAGAAGAACTGAACAAAAATAGCCTCAAATAATTCCTGCTTAGGGTTTGGGATAGTTTTAATTCATTTACCCCCGCCTTTCATTAATTTCTTTTACATGAATTTCCTTTTACTTAATGTTTTTTCTCACTTCTTACTTTTGCATGCATGCAGGGGTTGTAGAAATAGGGAGAGGCCAAATATAAAGATAAAAATAAATTTGAAATAAAAACAAATTAGATAAAAGGCTAAAACACAGACAACATAAGGGATAAAAGGACTGCAAAGCAGGCTTAAATATGAAATTAAACAGAACTCAGAAGTCACTGCTAAGCCTGCATAGCAGGTCTAAATACAAAATTAAACAAAACTCAGAACTCAAAACTCACACGAGGGCAGTTTTATAAAAGAAAAGAGTAGGCTGAGTGTGGTGGCTTATGCCTGTAATCCCAACCCTTTGAGAGGCCAAGGTGGGAGTACTGCTTGAGCCCAAGGAGTTCAAGTTTACAATGAGCTATGATCACGCCACCGCACTCCTGCCCAAAATACAGTGAGATGGAAGGAAGGAAGGAAGGAAGGAAGGAAGGAAGGAAGGAAGGGAGGGAGGGAGGGAGGGAGGGAGGGAGGGAGGGAGGGAGGGAGGGAAGGAAGGAAAAGATGAAGAACTAAATAAAACATTCAAAAGAAATAAAAGGTACAAATCCTTAAAGTTTCTGGGGCGGGCATAACCTTCCCAGATGAGGGAGTCACCTGATCAGAGTCCTTAGGTGTGCAGGGAATAGGATGAAAATGAACAACTTTACCCTCTCATACTTCAACAAGCTCCAGAAAACTGAATCTGCTTTGTAAGTAGCTTCAGTTAATGAGGATTATTAATAACTAATCAACAGCTGGGGAGTGCTCACAAGGAGAAGCAGCAGGCAGCCTGATTTCTGCCAGCTTCTCAGAACAAAACACCCCAAATTCCATTAATATAACAGAAGATCCTTAAAAATGTGGTTTCCAGACCCTAGGATTTGCAGAGATCCTCTCAGGGTATTCACAACATCAAAACTGTTTGCATAATGATACTAAGATATTATGTGCCTTTCCACTATGTTTACAGTTAAACTAATGGTGCAAAAACAACAGTGGATAAAACTGCTGCCCCTTTACAGGAATCAAGATAGTAGACTCAAATTACACTAGAAGTCATTGTATTCTTCAGGGAGGAGGGAGATTTGAGCCTTTTATTCACAAAAGTCCCTTTTGAAGCAGTAAAAATTCTAGTGTCCACATTTGCATATATATCCTTTTAATATTCTGTGTGACAGGAAATACACATAAACCATGCTGTACTTGTGTCTCACAACATCTCAATTTTGTCTGCGCTCTTTGAGTTGTGAGCTACAGTAGCCACTTTTTTTTCAAAGAACATCATTTTTACTTGAAAGAACAACTGACAGATAAGCAATGGTTATCCAGACTTGATTATTAGACAGGCTTTCTCAAAAATGAACAGTGAGACTATCACTCCAAAGGAAATAAGTGACAGTATTTGTCACCAATGATAAAACTGAAGCTTTCAAGAGAAAATTAGAATGTTGGAAAACTTGAATCTATCTTTGAGTTTTACAGCATCTCAATATATACTTTTCTGATAAGAATAATGGCAATATTAACAAATGTGGTTTTTTCAATGTATAATGATATGTGTCAACATTCAGAAGACCTATATTATTCACTGAACAAATATTTTCCAAATGAATAAGGCATAATGTCAACTGTCTTATTTGGCATTTGACAAATGGACAAAAGATCCATTCAAAGTGCAAATGGGCCAATAGATTTCAATGTCATGGAGTATGAAAAAGCAGTGAGACTATAAATTTGAATCAGTAGTTTAAAAGTAGTTAACACTCCTAAACAATTTCATTGAGGAAGATGACTAAAACTTCTTTAGGAGTTTTAAGAGTTTAAACCTTTTTGATCAGTTTCTCCTCTATGGAAAACTAGCATCTAAACTAGCACCTAAACTGGTACCTAAGAAAACTTGACACATACAGAAAAAACCCTGCATTAGTAACTCTATGAAGGAAAATATGTATACAGTTTACTCAAAGTTATCATGAATTAGGCATCTAAACATTAATCTTAATATTCTAGAAAAGAGATTATCACATGATTTGTTAACAGAAAGCTCTTCTTTTGAAAACACACATGGAACCCGAACATAAAAGACAATTAAAGCATAAGTAGGTCCCATGGAGTCAATGCTTAGCCGCCTTATCCCTCAAACCTTTATCTCATTGCACATGCACGAGACATCTTTAGAAAAGCCACTGACTTAGGCCACTGGTTTCTAAACTTGGCTGTGCTAAAATCAGAATCAGTACCATTAGCTTTTTAGTAATAGATTCACAGGCTGCCTAACACAACAAAGTAAATTAGAATCTCTCGGGATACAATCTACCATTCTGTATTATTTAAAATGTCCCCAGTGGGCAGGTGCAGTGGCTCACGTCTGTAATCCCAGCACTTTGAGACGGGCAGATCGCTTGAGGTCAGGAGTTCGAGACTAGTATGACCAACATGGCAAAACCCCATCTCTACTAAAAAATACAAAAATTAACTGAGCATGGTGGCGAACGCTTGTAATCGCAGCTACTCGGGAGGCCGAGGCAAGAGAATCACTTGAACCTGGGAGGCGAAGGTTGCAGTGAGCCAAAATTGTGCCACTGCACTCTAGCCTGGACAACAAAGGGAGGCTCCATCTCAAAAAAATTAAAAAAGGGGTCCGGGCACAATGAGTGGCTCCCATCTGTAATCCCAGCACTTTGGGAGGCTGAGGCGGGAGGATCACCTGAGGTCAGGAGTTTGAGACCAGCCTGGCCAACATGGTGAAACTTTGTCTCTACTAAAAATACAAAAAATTATCCGGGCGTGATGACATGTGCCTATAATCCCAGCTACTAGGGAGGGTGAGGCAGGAGAACTGCTTGAACCCAGGAGGTGGAGGTTGCAGTGAGCCGAGACTGCACTTCAGCCTGCGCAACAGAGCAAGACTCTGTTGCAAAAAAAAAAAAAAAAGAGGCCCCAGATGATTTCTGAAGCTGCTCTTGGGAGTTCAGTGCTGCTAATCCTTCTTATAAGTAACATCCCCAGTACTATTTATCAAAAGGCAGCTCACTTAACAGTAAGAAGCTACAGCTGAGGAAATAAGAACTACTTTGGGCTATGCCATTTACTGACAAACTGATCTTCAACATCTCTCCACATCAATATCTTCATCTGTGAAAGGTAGAAAATACAAAAAAAAAAAGGGGGAGAGAGGGCATTCATGAAAACTAGATAAGATTTTGAATGTAAAAGTCTTACACAGTGCCTAGCAAGGTTAGATCATGAAAATATGTTGATATATTAAGAGGGATAGGAAGGATTAGACAAACTTAGCCTCTGACAGAAGAGATGGATAAAAACTGTGTTTTCTGTTTGAACTCTGTATAGTCCTCAAAATCCAGGAGAAGACAAATTAGATGTTTCCTATTAGGGCAGTTAGATAGTATCTAGCATTTGAAAAGAAACAGCTGAGCTTCAGGATAGTAACTACCTTCGAAGCTACGGAATCCTTTCAGGGTCCTAGCTGTAGGTCACCTCTGGGTCAGAGCCAAAGGCCTATTAGCCATAGCTGAGATGGAGATGACTAATATTATACCACTAACCATTCATATTATCCAATTAAATTTTCTTGTTTTGATTCCATGGTCATAAAACAAATTTTTCAATTCATAATCTGGCTTTTTAAACAAATTTTTTTCCTAGATCACTGTCTCAACTATCCTATTCAAAGCAATTATATTTCTCACTATAAATTAAGTTCTATAGGAAATCAAGCCTTAAGTCCCAAGACATCTACTGTTTGTAATGATTAACTTATCACACAGGCATTTAAAATGATACTAAGGGCACATTATCCTTGAGTGGATTGAGGACACACCATCTTTGGGAGGACTAAGAAAAATACTTACAAAATTCTTTTCTGTGGGCTTAATTCTCTCCATGGAACAAACTGAAAAAGCCTGCATGAATTAACATTCCAGTTTACAAGTCTTTTGCGAACTTAATTACAAAGGATTAGTCCAATGGCCTCTAGGTTCAACGATAAGATACAGTTCACAGACCTTGACTTCACTAACGTATAAACTGGCTTATCTCAACATATGTTCTACAGAATCACTACACTTTAGTGTCATACAGGTGACAGACCTCCCCCCCTAAAACTTTGTGTAGAAGTATTTATATTCTATTTATACTAAAAAGGCAACATTCTACTTAATATAGCTCCATTTCAAAACTTTTAATAGGTCAAAATTGTATTTTATTATATTTAATATATTCATCAGAAATAATAAATTATATTTTGAAATTTCATAAATACTAAAATCTACCCGAAAGAAATAAAATTTCATGGGGCCTACAGATTTTAGATTAGGATAAAGGCAAAGGAGCAAAGCAGCTGAATTAAAATTCAATGGGGCAGGGCACGGTGCCTCACGCCTGTAATCCCAGCACTTCGGAAGGCCAGGATGGGCGGATCACTAGGTCAGGAGTTAAAGACCAGCCTGGCCAACATGGTGAAACCCTGTCTCTGCTAAAAATACAAAAATTAGCTGGGCGTGATGGTGTGTGCCTGTAATCCCAGCTACTCGGGAGGCTGAGGCAGGAGAATCGCTTGAACCCATGAGGCGGAGGCTGCAGTGAGCCGAGACTGTGCCACTGCACTCCAGCCTGGGCAACAGGGCGAGACTCAGTCTCAAAAAAAAAAAAAAAACAATTCAATGGAACTCGAAAACATATCCCATCCATAGAAACTTTTGTAGATTTTTTTCAGTTTCCCATTTAATGTCCTACTGAAATCTTACTCAGAATCTTTATTGCTGAAAAAAATGACATCCTTCTCCTAACTCAACAATTACACTTTTTTTTATAAAACACAAGTTTCATGTTTATTCAAAGAGAAAATTCTGGAAACATTTAGCTTTTGTATTATTATAAAGCTTTTATAATCTAATACTGAGAATGATGTTTGAGGGAGGGAAGGAGGAGGAGCCAAGCAACCATAAGTCTGGGATTAAAATGACTCTGTGGAGAGTAAAGTTGATAGTACAAATTCCCCAGAGACTGCAGTCTACTAATGGCAATACTTAGAAAAAATTTTTAGAAAATTGAAATTTAAAATCAAAAAAACAGGAGTGGGAAATTGGTAATGATAAAAGGAGAGGTGAGATTTAAAGTAACTTGACTGAACTGCTACAAAGAAGTGTTACAAAGTGAATCTAAATGAAGCAAAGTAGGTTCAAGAAGTTTCAGGATTTTGAAAATGAATACATATTATTTATTCCTGTTGTAGAAAACAGAAATCTCATATGTGGTTTCAAAATTAAAAGTTTATATGTAGCTTTATATTGTAGGAGTTATTAAGAAATTATTGTAGGCAGATAGAGAGGAAAACGGTCCTTAGGAAGTTTTCATCTTTTAAAGCATCTCCAGAAAAGTTTAGGCAACCTTTGATATGCAAATGCAAGCCATTAGAAACTGGGTCCACCCAAACCTGGCAATACCAGCACTCTTCTTCTTGCCCTTGCCCCACATGTTCCTGGCGACATGGCCGTCCCCACATATCCCCACCTGTGTAGAAGATCATGGCACCCTGTATTGGCATATTAAAAGGCTAGGTGGGAGGGTCCTTTTTTTTTTTTTTTTTTTTTTTAACAGGCTATGTGGATGACATGCCTGGTCAAACCAATCCTGAGCCCTATGCAAATCAAACACTGGCACCTTCAGCCTCTTCATATACCTGACTGGTATCCGTGGCAGGTGGGGTTCCCTCTCTTGGTTTTGGAGCTCCCCTCCCTCTGTCTCTGTACAGGGGAGCTTATTTCTTTCT
The DNA here is from genome assembly GCF_000001405.40 of Homo sapiens. Lineage (NCBI taxonomy): Eukaryota > Metazoa > Chordata > Mammalia > Primates > Hominidae > Homo > Homo sapiens. The sequence goes on from NC_000006.12 coordinate 69,780,318, forward strand.
TCCCCCTTCTTTCTTGCCTACTAAACTCCCTGCTCCTTAAAACTACTCCATGTGTGTCCATGTCATTTTTTTCTAATTCGACCCAAGAGGAAGAACCTGGGGTTCTCCACTCATCGGAGTCGTATCAGTATTTTGGTTAGCAGTCCAAATAGGGAAAGAAACTGAAAGATACTTACTATAGTAACCGTATAATACAGTGTCCTCAATCTGTCTGCTGACATTAGCATTAGCCCAGTCCTAGGATAAAAGGAAACAATAGAAATATTAATGAAACACCCATTTGCCTAACAATTAAAAGTCAAGTTTTAATACGACTGAATATCACTTCCAAAATCTATCCACCCACATAAAAACAATCTATGTCTTCAATAAGTGAGAGACAGACAATAGACAAATTTCAGTATGTAAATGCTGAGATAAGACAACACAGTTCTGGGAAAACACAGACAAAAGGCACCTAACTCAGACTGAAGATGAGGAATGGCTTCTCAAAAATGACTAAACTGAGACCTGAAAGGAGGGAGAATGATCTCAGGGAAACAGAAAATAGTAGGAAGGAAAGAGGGAGTAAAGAACATACACAGAACGTTTGAAAAAAGCTTCAAGAAGCTAAATATAGATTAAATTGAGCTTTTGGAAAGGTAAGAGAAACCAGGTGGAGAGAGGGAAGAGAAGGACACATATGTCAGGGGCTTGTGAGTCATGCTGAGTACTTTGGACTTTGTCCTAAGGGCAATGGAAAATAGTGATGAATTTTATGCAGAGAGCAACAAACCTGATTAGTACTTCAGAAAGAACATATTTGAGCATATTATACATTTTTTTAAAAACCTACAGGAAAAATCAGTCTAATCTCCTTTGCATTCATCCCACACAAGGGTTGTTCGAATTACTAAGCTTAGAAAATATAATTCAAATTAATCTTTTCCAATAGAAAAAAAATCTATACCCTATTCTGTCAGAACTAAGGTACAATGTCAAGCCTTTTTGGCCTATACTCTAAATTCTGTGCATGTGAAAAATTAAACGTGGAGAATCTAAAGGACTTATCACTGCTATTAAGTATAAAGCAAAATTTAGAATCCAGGTCAGTGTTTTATAAACACTTAAAGAGCTCAAGTCAGTGTCAACATTCTATGAGTGCTCTTAAAAAAGGGCATCAATATTTAATTCTCTTAAGATAATTAAGGATTTTTCTTTTCTCTTTTTTTTGCCCATAAACACCTCTAGCAATGAGTAGCTATAAATTTGCTGATAAATGCCTAAAATATAAAAAAAGTAGAAAATCCAAACTTACTTCTACAAAGGCAAAACCTTGATATCCAAAGCACAATAAAAACAATATGTTCCCAATAGTAATAAGGAATAGTAACAAACCCTTAATAGGCCAAATAGAAACATTTATGTTAACCATATAAAAAATAAATCACAGGATATAACAAATTTAATAAATGGAAAGTCATCTGTTCCCACATTTAAAGATTGTAAATACCAACTGCCATCCAAATTAATCTTAAAATTAATATATATCACCAATCAAAATCCCATTGTGCTAGGAGGTAGAGTATATTAACATATTGATTCTAAAAATCATCTGACAAAACAAGCTAGGGCCAGAAATAAATTTGAAAAAGACCAACAAGAAGGAATTTCCCAATTACTATCCTTTACTAATAAAACGTGAAAATCCACTATTATATAACCTTTCACCTACCTATTGGCAAAATTTAAAACAATAACATCCAGTAATGCCAAAATGTGGAGGGAAAGCCATCTGCTACACAGTAAGATAGTCTACCATGTAGACATTCTTTATTGAATCGATCCTAAAAATATTCACACAAATTAGGATGGATATTAGTACATAGATAGTTTATTCATTGGACAATACTACTTGTCCAACAAATTACCTCAGGAGCTCTTACAAAGCGATAAGCTAGCCCAAATGGGCCCTTCCTTTCCCACACAGCAGGAGCTGTACCAAATTCCATCACTCATTGGACTAAGAGACCCAAAGTCTCCAGGTGTTCAGCAATTGTCCTAGCATTCAGTGAACTACTTGTACCTACTCAGCTCATATTCTTTGGCACCCAAGTCCAAGGTGTTTATTCTACCTGCAAGACCATTCTTAAGAGGCCAGGTGCGGTGGCTTACATCTGTAATCCCAGCACTCTAGAAGGCTGAGGCAGGTGGATTGCTTGAGGTCAGGAGTTTGAGGCCAGGCATTGTAGTACACACCTATAATCCCAGCTTCTTGGAAGGATGAGGAATGAGAATTGCTTTAACTTGGGAGGCAGAGGTTGCAGCGAGCCAAGATCATGCCACTACACTCTAGCCTGAGCAACAGAGCAAGACTCTGTCTCAAGAAACAAAAAAAAAAAGAGAGAGAGAGAGAAAAGACTAGGAGGTTATATGCCTCTACTAAAGCACCTGCACTGTGGGAGAGTTTCTCTCTTTGCCTAATGTAGTTACAAAAGAACCTGAGCACTTGCTGACCCTTGTCAGGGTAAATTAGACCCTGTACTAATTAACATTTATTGGTTTTGGGCCAAGAGTCCTTTACCCAACAATATTCGGTGTAGGGTCGTTTAAAATATTTTTTAAAAGAAAAATGAAACTGGAGACAATCTAAATGCCAGAATAGAAATAGTAAAATTTACTACTGTACATGCATAACATAGAATAACATGTTGACATTAAAAACAATGAGACCTATATAAACTAGCATAGATAAATATCTATGAAGTACTTTTGAGTAGGAGGAAACAGAACAAATCACAACCAAAAGTTTTAACACATGTAATCTTTGTCTAAAAAATGTAATGAAAGAAATACCCAAACATATTATAGAAAAAATGAAAAGAAAATGTAAGTAGCGCTTACCACACAGAATGGGAAAGCACTGGGGAGAATTCTGTGCAATGACTGAAAATTTTTTCATCAATGATTCAAGTATCCAAATGAATATGTACATAATCAAAGCTTCAACTCCTAAGAGCTGTGCTTCTTTAGTGATTACTTCTGTATCAAAACAGAAATTTAAAAGTATTTTTGTGGGTTTTGTTCTGTTTTTGAGACAGTGTCTCACTCTGTCACCCAGGCTGCAGTGCAGTGGCATGATCATGGCTCACTGCAACCTAGACCTTCCCAGGCTCAGGTGATCCTCCCACCTTCAGGCTTCCAAGTAGCTGGGACCACAGGTGCATGCCACCATGCCCAGCTAATTTTTGTATTTTTTGTAGAGACTGGGTTTCACCACGTTGCCCAGGCTGGTCTTGAACTCCTGGACTCAAGTGATCTGCCTGCCTCAGCCTCTAGGTTTACAGGTGTGAGCCACCATACCTGGACTAAAAGGATTTTGAAGATGAGCAAATTAAGAACAATGTATCAATGGGCCAGAGAATAATAACAACTATCTTTTTTTTACTTCTTATATGTTATACAAACTTCCCACCAATTTCCAAGACAGCCCCAGGAGGTAGTAATGTCTCCACTGAGAATCACTTAAAAATTAGTTTAAAATCAGACAAAATCCCAATCTCAAAAAAAAATATTAAAAATAAAAAGTCTGAAGGTTAACTTGAAGCAAAAGAATCATTGAAATTTAGCATCTTTTACTCTATAAGGATCTTTTGCCTAACCAGTTCTTGTGGCAACAGGAGTATTGCTGTTACTATTTTAAAGCTACAAATATGTGTAAGATATACAACATCACTCAAGTACTGTTAGTGTATTTGGCTTTTACATACTCTCTTGCCTCCAAGATACTTGATGTATTGTCAAGAGAGCTTAGTTTGTAAAACTTTCCTTCTAATTTTGGGAACCACTATGACCTTGATATGTTTTATAAACTATTGCCTCTCGAAGTAGAAACTAAAAGAAACTTCAGAGTCATTTAGGACACAAAAGAATGTGAGACAATCAAGAACTAAATAAAGAATATTAAAGAAGAATATTTCAGAAGACAAGGATATGAATTCCACAGAACAAGAATGTAATTGGTCGCATATGTAAATTCCATTCCCCATTTTTCAAGTTGACTTTTGAAACCTGCTGCATAACCCAAAACTCCAAAATGATTCTCCTCACTTTTACCTGATAACTTCACCATAAAAATGGTGGTTCTCATTCAGGAGCCATTTTGATCCCCATGGGGCATTTGACAATGTCCGGAGACATGGTGGACAGAGTCAGTATACTACAGGAATCTAGGAGGTAAGAGGTCAAGGACGCCACTAAACACCTACAATTCACAGGGCAGGCCCCCATAACAAAGAATTATCCAAGGCAAAATGTCCATGATTGAGAAATACTGACTTAGAGGTCTCTAAAATAATTTGCAGCCCCAAGACAGGAGCTCACTCAACTTACTATTAAATCTAAAACATATCTCCATTTGTATCCAAATTCTAGACCTTCTTTCCTCTGAAATACCCACACTCCTATTACACCCAACCCTTTCACTTTCACTCACCCTTCTGGAGGAAACTGCACCTGCAATACCTTCTCTCCCCTCAAAAATTTCTCTCACTGTACTGAATTCTAAAGTATACAAATTCTAGTAACTATTAAACACAAAGAGATACACAAACACCACAAATAAAAACACCTCCATTAACCCACTTCTCACTTTCGTAGAGAACAAAAACTTCCTGAAAAGTTGTCAGCATTCCTTATCACTTCTTCCTTACTTCTCTGTCCATATCTAACCCACTCAACCTAACCACCCTACTGTTCTGCTGAAATTATTCTTCATGGTCACCACTGACCAAAGCCACCAGTCACTTCTCTACCCCATTCACTTCACCTCTCAACACCACTGAAAAAAGCTATCATTCTTTCTTCCTGAAACACATTATTCTGATTTCCATAAAGCCTCCCTCTTCTGTTTTTCTTATCTCTCAGGTTGCAGATTCTCCCCTTCAGCTGACCTTCTACACGATAGAGAACTCCAGTCCTCGGTCCAGTGTCAAGGCTTCTCTGACTACTCAGTCTTCCCAGCTGCTAGTCAGTCCATAACTGTAGATATCATCCATATGTTGCTTCCCAAATACTTCTCTCCAGCCCTAAGCTCTTCACAGAGCTTCAACTCCCTACTTAACACCTCCACCTGGATAGATAGTACAGTACACACTTTAAAGGTAGCCTGTCCGAACTATAACTCTTTTCTCTACACCCCCTCACTTGCCCATGCACATGCCCTCTTATTCCTCTAAGTTTCCCTATTTCTCTAAGGTATACAAAAACCTAGGCATCAGTGCTCCAATTTTCTTTTTCTTTCACCTGTCCCCCTATATCTAATCTATCAGCAGATCCCAGCAGCTCTACCTCTAAAATACATGCCAATTTTAATCATTTTTCTCTACTAGCACCACTCTAGCCCAAGTCACCTTTATCTTTTACCTTCATTAACTTCATATTGCAGTTAGGAGAAAATCTAAACTTATTAATATGACTTAAAAGTCATGAACAGTCTGGCTCCTGCCTTATTCTGGATCTCAGCTTTTACCAAAGCAAAACCCTCAACAATACATGTCAGCCAAATAAGCCAAGTTCATCCTGGCCTAAAGGCCTCTATATTTGCTGCTGCTTCTCCCTAAAGGCTCTCTCCCTCTGGCTCTTTACTAGATTGGCTCCTCATCCAGGTATCATGGCAAGAAACCTCAGCAGTTTTGCCTTCCTATCCCCCTCTCCAAAACACTCATAACCTGACTAGACTCTCATATCAATCTATTTCCTCATAGAATTTATCACTATAAAGTTACCTTATCTTATTTGTTGATTATTGATCTGGCCTTGCAGACTAAGCTCCATGAGAAAAGCAACCTCATTTGCCTTAATGATTAATCTCCAGTACCTACAATTGTCAGGCACATACTATATATTTAGTAAATATTAAGTAAATAAACATATTTAAGGTTCAATAAAGAGCACAAAGTTCTAAGATACAGTTCCCACCATTTGAAAATAGGAATGAGGGAGCAGTAGAGTTTAGCCCAGACATCTAATAACAGTCCATAAAGATATTCATAATTAGGGAACAGGAGTAAGATATGAACAAACACCAAAACATTAAATGTTTTCATGACATACCTTAATATTAACTAATTTTTTTATTTTTACATGTTGTGTAAAAGAAAGAATATTTATTCATATTAGTGTCGATTTCTTTTTTTTTTTACTATTGGATCAGTATATTTCATGTATATCCCCATCCAATGTTACTGGCCAACTATCAAAGACTGTTAAAGACAGCACTTCCAGCTGTACTCTAAAAGGTTCTCTTCTGTTATCTAAAAAGTTAATTACTTTAGAAAAGAAGCTAGAAACAAATTATCTAGCTAAAATTATTAATAATGCCATATGCTGAAAGAAAGGTCAACAGAAACAACTCAGGCATTATAATATACCCCTGCCATAAGAAGGCAGAGAAAGCTAGAAGGGTAACTAAAACAAAAATAAAGAAACTAGCAATGACTGCCTGCTCACAGAAAAGCCTGGGCACCTTCTGTTTTTAAGAAAAATGTTAGCAATCATTAATATGTAGAGTTTCCAAATAATTATACCTTAGAAGACAAGTCCATAATTAGAGAGAGGCTTCAAAATATTTGAGGTGGAAGTAGAGAAAGTTAGAGAATGTATATATTCATTTAGGAATTTCAAATGCACACTGTAAATATTATTATACATTAGCATTCATCATGGAAAACAATGTCAACTTGTACATTCATCTTTACAAACAAGGTTGGAATAGACCAAAACCACGTTGGCATCCTTTTTACTCTGACTACATTTACAATCGTGGCATGAAGTTTGAAGAATTAATTCTTAAATACTTAAACTTATCTTTCACTAGGCACCTGAATTCAGTAATAACTTTAGGAAAAACTACTGTCTAGAGTTTATCAGGAAAATGTTTTCAAAAATTTTTTCAGTACTACTTTTGAGAGTCAGCAAATAGTCCAGTTTCAAATAAAAACTCATGAATTTCACTAATCCTCACCGAGCCGCCCAAAATGAGAAGGGAAAATACAGACACACAGAATGTTTCAAGGTATCAAAAAAACTACCAAGAAAAATCTGATACATTATCTAAGTTAAAAGCAAACAGAACTAGAGACAACTTAATAATGAAAAGTAGGAAAGGCCAGTCACAGGGGCTCATGGCTGTAATCCCAGCACTTTGGGAGGCCAAGACGGGTGGATCACCTGAGATCAGGAGTTCAAGACCAGCCTGGCCAACATGGTGAAACCCCATCTCTACTAAAAATACAAAAAATTGGCTGGGCATGGCGGTGTGCATCTGTAATCCCAGATACTCAGGAAGCTCTGGCAGAAGAATCGCTTGAACCCAGGAGGCGGAGGTTGCAGTGAAACTCCGTCTCAAAAAAAGAAAAGTAGAAAAAAACAAGAACCAACAACTGATGAATAACTAATATCCTAATAATGAAACAAAGTTTTAAAAAAGTAGAGGGAAAAGTTTTAACAGATATTTTCCCCTTCTAAATATTAGTGTAACATTTAGATTTAACAAATATAGTGTGTTAACTACAGCCATATTTTTTTTCTTTTAAGGGCACATGTATTAAAACAAGCACCCTCAATTTTTATAGTTAATATTTTTGCTTCTTTAGTGGATTCTTAAAATCTTGTTCAAACAAGTATAATGCAATCTCATAGATTTAAATATCGAAAACAAAGAAACAAAACAAACCTATTTCCTAGGAAGCGAGCACTAATTTAAGCATGTGCTCAAAACAATACTTAATCTAATAGAAAGTTCATAATTTCATGAAAATACTTTAGAAATTTTTTTATTATATTTTAAGTTCTAGGGTACATGTGCACAATGTGCAGGTTTGTTACATATGTATAAAGATGAAATGTTTTCCCACAAAATCTAAATAAATCAAACATGCTCAATTCTAAACTAAAAAAATCTCCGATTCAAACAATAATTATACCAGGGATAATTATATGACCTCTATACATCAGAATACACACATATACATATATATCATTATCTATTTAAACTTAACAGCTTTCAGAAAGAAAAATATCCTAGAAATTTATAATTATGTACTGTACATTTGGAAGTATACTACACTGTTTTAAAATAAAAAGAATATCCAGAAATTCTGAAAATGTCAAAATCTCTTATCCAAGAAACAAAGCGATATACAGAGCCAAAAGAAATTAAACATTTTTATAGAATTTAATTCTAAAATGACACTTATTTATCAGAGAAAATGACCTCATAATGTTACAATCAACCATTTAATTATCTATGTCTAACAGTATTAAAAGTGTATTTATTCTTGCCCAATAATAAAAAGCAGAGAAAACCCAATGACACCAGTAAAATTAGTCATTTTCTCTAGAAATAATGTTTCAACCCAAAATATAAAATGTGAATTAAGTTTATATTTTGAAAAAATGTAGAATCACTAGTAGGTATCCTATTTACTAGGCTACCTGAAAATATCTCTTACTTGTTTAGAAGCCATCTTCCCAAGAAACCTCATGAACAAAGCTCTCTGGAACCAAACTGCAGAGCTTCAAATCCCAGCTTCAGCACTTACAGGCTATGTTATTTCACCTCTTTGAACCTTGATTTTTCAGCCACAAAAACACAGATACTACTACTTATCTCACAGGATTGTTTAAGAGACCAAAGGAAGTTACTAAATGTAAATCACTTAAAATAGAGTCTGACACATAGCAAATATTTAATAGATGTTATTTACTATCTTTATAACATTACAATGTTTGGCACACACTAAGTGCTCAATTAAAACTTGCTAAATGGTGTACAGAAAAAAAATGTGGTTTTCACAGCAATCAGAGTATATCTAATTTTCATAGTAATCAGAATAAATTTAAACCTAACTACAAAAATATTTTCAAATTATTTACCCCATTTGGACCAGGGATCGTGGCTCATGCCTGCAATCCCAGCACTTTGGGAGGCTGGGCACGTGGATCACTCGAGGCCAGAAGTTTAAGACCAGCCTGGCCAACATGGCAAAACCCCATCTCTACTAAAAATACAAAAAGAACTAGCCAGGCATGGTGGCTGCATGTCTGTATTCCTAGCTACTTGGGAGGCTGAGGGACGAGAATCGCTTGAACCCAGGAGGCGGAGGTTACAGTGAACCAAGATCATGCCACTGTACTCCAGCCTGGGCAACAGAGTGAGCCTCTATCTCAACAAAATAAAAAATATATATATAAAATAAAATAAAAAATAAAATAAAATTATTTACCTAATTTAGCCCAATTCAGGAAGTTATTTTGTAATCATGTATTATTAAGATAAATGAAAAACTATTTCATTCAAATATTTAAGTACTAAAGCTAAATACTGGGGCTACAACAACAGAGACAGTTCCTGAGTCACAGAAGCTTAAGCTAGTAAGAAACTTAAAAGTAATTTGCATAATTTAAAGGAAACTCAGAAACCTTTAGTCCACACCCTTCATTTTTAAAATGAGGAACCTCAAGTCCAGAAAAGTTAAGTGGTTTGGCTAAAGGTCCACAGCTAGACAGTTAAGGGTCAAGACTAGAACTCAGATCTTATAATTCCCAGCCTAATTCACTACACCATACTGACTCAAAGTACTCAATATGAAACGGAGATTAGGATCCTGATCTGCCACTAACAAAAGCCCTTCTCAATTATTTACTTATTGCATTAATGCAAATCAAATAAGCTTCAAGGGAGTTATGAGCAGCAAAAAATATATAACCTATTATGATTACTTAAAGCATTTGCAGGGCGGCTGAATTAATAGTTCTTATGTCAGTTGTAAGTCTGCTTCTGGTCTATCAGGTTAGATGTCACATTCTCAGCTTCTATGTTGTATTTCCATTCTCATTCATTCCCAGATACAAAAATAAAACACAATATGTATCGGACTGCCAAGTGTGCCAGAAATTTGAAAGGAAAAAAAATCTGCAAAGTAAGATTATATTTACCTTAAATGTACCATTTTGATTTTTCATGTAAGAAACCAAAAATATATCCACTGGTAGAAGTGCTGATGTGATAAGTGCAATTGCTAGAGAAAAAATTGCTGTTATGGTGGAGACAACTTCACTTTCCCGCCGACTTTGGTATTTACGAACATATATCCAGCAGAATGCCAAAATAGCCTGAAATAGAACAAAAAGAGATGTTTGTTACTACCCAGTGTATTTTCTCTGATTTTTGTATGTGTTTGAAAGTTTCTAGCAGGAAACCTTATGTGAAGTAAAGGTTATTTTAGTTGTGTAAGGAAAGCCCACTATCCCTTAAAAACTTGTCCAAGATGTATAATTTTCAAAGCCTACTTCATGAATGCAGTACATCACGTATGCATACACACACAATACTATTAATAACAGTGCTCAGCTACATATTTCCTCATTAAACACAGTGCAAACGTTAATGGTTTCACACATCACAGTTATAACTAGCTTTGAATATTTTTTTCCCTGTAGATTTTTCCAACCTAAAAGAGATATGAGTAGAAGCTGTTCTATTCTAGGCTTATTACTGAAGCATTACAAAATATAACTTGGATGAAAATTAACTTCTGTCCTGTTCTGACAGTTCAAGAATAGCATTGAGCTAAAGATTAACTGCCAGTAATCACCATGCAATTATCACATTATACTATAATTTAAATTTTAAAGAGCATTAAACAAAGAAAAGTCAATGCTGAAAATGGATACATGTGCACAGCAAGGAGCTTTCCAGTGAAAAAAGTTCACTCAGAGGTAGAGGTTGACATCTCTAGTCAGCCAAGTACTCTTAATAGTTACCAATGCCATTCTAGTGACTAACACAGAGCATAGGACTTTAATGATTCTCTAACGTTAGGAGGCATCGGAATCACTTGGAGGAACTGTTAAAGCACAGATTGCTAGGCCCCATCCTCTGAGTTTCAGATTCAAGAAGTCTGGAGTGGAGCCAGAAAATCTGCATTTGTAACAGCTTCCCCAGGTGAGGCTACTGCTGGTCCAGGGCTGTATTTTGAGAACTTCTACTCTACTCATAGGGAGTTGCAGACAGAGACTGTGTTATTTCAGCCTTCACTGTGAGTCAGAATCACCTGGGTAACTTTTAAGTACCCTTATAACTTCCCTACATTCCCCAATCAATTCTATCAACGGAGAATAAGGCTCCTCCAGGCATCAGTACTTTAAATGCCTGAGGATTTCAATCTGAGCCAAACTTGAGAACCATTGTTCTAAATAAGAGCTCTGGTAGTTTTAAAAGCCTTGTTTTGACCTTTCACTTTTTCAACAGCGGTTACTTTCTTTCTGAGCATCCTACAATTCCAGGGCCCAAATGAAACTAATAAAACCACCAAACTAGTTTTGCAGCTTCCAAATCCTTCTACCGCAAGCAAGATACAAGAACAATTCCATCATCTCAGAAAATTCCTTTGTCCCTTTGTAGTTAACTCCTCTCTCTGCCCCCAGCCCTTGAGACAGGAATAATGCATGATGTTCACAAGGGCTAAAAAATTCCAGAGAGCAGTTTTCCATGACTAGAGGCTAAGGGCTAATAAGACCCTGAAAAACCAGGGTGTGGACCAAGCTGGTTAAGACCCACTGGACCCAACATGGCAATGGATTTGACCTAGGTTTCACCTAGGACCTCATTATATGCTCATTAACATGCTCAATCACACACCTACCAGCACCATGGCAGTTCCAAGACCACTCATATTTGATGTAAAAATGGGTGGCACCACAATTTCAAGAAGTCTCTACTTTTTTCCAGGAATTTTCATGAATATGTCCCTTGGATAAAGAAACCCATAAAGGTAGAAACTCCAAACCTCACCGTGTGTCTCTCTCTTAAGAATGCCCACACGAGTGTGTACTTTTCCCTTTAATAAATCTCCACACTTACACTATTTTCTGACTTGCCCTTTAATGTCTTCTCATGACAGTGTCAAGAGCCTGAAAACCAGCTGGGGTTGAGATCCCACCAGTGTTTGGGGATCTCCCTCAGCCCACCAGTATCACCCTGACAACCACTATCTGTTTTCTGCCCCTATAGTTTCTGCCTTTTCTAGAATATCATAATGCCTTCATATAGTATGTTGTCTTTTCAGTCTGGCTAGTGTCATTTGGCACAGTGCATTTAAAACCCATCCAAGTTGCTGCATGTCATTGCTTCATACTGCTGGCCTTTCAACTGGTGACAGAATAGCAGGAAAGAATTGACTGAGAAGGGAGTTAAGACTTTGGAACAAACAAACAAAAAGGATCTAGGCTCAAATTCTTGATTTTGGGAAATTTATTTTTCATAAAATGTGACTTTGTATTAATATTTGAATGAGCTTGTTTTTAAAGGAATTCATAAATATTTTTAACATTCCCCAAATTCATTCTGAAGTCTTTGAAAGCTGAGTCTCATCTTTATATCCTCAGCAGTACTTGACACAAAGTGTTCCAATAAATTTTTTATTGGATTTCAAGAATGAAAGAAAACCTGCATTTTGTAGGTATTACTGCAAACAAAGGATTTTGCCAATATCAGGCAGACAAGCTAGGAAACGGCAACCAGGCAGAAGAGTTAAGCCAGAGATTCCCAAACTTTTTGGTCTCAGAATCCCTTTATAATGGTTTTAAAACTGATAACCTTAAAGAGCTTTTTGTTCATGTTATCAATCATTACTACAATATAAAATAAAACCAAGTATCCTCGTCTATAGGAATACTTCTTTCATAACAAGTTATAAGGATTAAATGAGATATAAAGGGTTTACCATAGTGGCTGGCCATAGTAACTGCTTAACAAACAGTAGTAGTTATTAGATAATTTGATAAAAGAAACAAATATATAACTCTGTTAACAATTATAAAGAAAAGTTTCAAATAGTCCCCCCAGCTTCTCCCAAAAGATTCAAAATAAATTGGTCTGAACACTGAGATTTTTAAAACTCCCCAGGTGGTTCTGATGAAAGGTCAAGTTTGCAAACCACTGGGGCAGAAGAAGGAATGAGAAGAGATGAATCTTCATTAAACTAATGAGAATAGATGACATACTGTATGGGATCTTGTTAAACTGCAGATCTGATTCAGTAGGACTGGGGTCACATATTTGGTATTTCTAACAAGTTCCCAGATGATGCCCACACTTTAAGGAACAAGAATAAATTTGCTTTACAAAAATGGAGAGTCTCCTATTGTAATGGCAAATACAATTTAAAGGTGGTGTGAGCCAAATTACAGAGGACATTGAAGCTAGATAGAACAGTTTAGATTTGATATAGTAAAGACAGACATAGTTAGATTACAGGCATGAGATACCAAATCTAACAATTCCTTATGTGTGAAGAAACTGAAGTCCATTCTTTTTGCCCACGATCACAAAAGTAGGCAACATTCATGTCCTGAATCTTTTTTTTTTTTTTTTTTTTTTTGAGACGAAGTTTCCCTCTGTTGCCCAGGCACTATCAGAGCTTGCTGCAACTGCCTCCACAAACCACCTCCTGGGCTCAAGCAATCCTCCCACCTCAGCCTTCTGAGTAGCTGGAACCTCAGGCATTTGCCACCTCGCCCGGCTAATTTTTTGTATTTTTAGTAGGAATGGGGCTTTGCCATGCTGCCCAGGCTGGTCTCAACTCCTGAGCTCAACTGATCCACCTGCCTCAGCCTCCCAAAGTGCTGGGATTACAGGTGTGAGCCACCACACCTGGCCCATGTCCTGAATATTTAGTAGATGATTGGCAGAAGTTCTCCAAGTGTGAAATCCCTAGGCCCTGGTAGTCCCCAGAATCCTTTCTGGAGATTCAGAAGTTGAAAACTATTCTCATAATAAATACTAAGATGCTATTTGCCTTTTTCACTGTGCTGACATTTGCACTCATGGTTCATAGCCACAGTGGGTAAAACTACTGGTGCATTAGCGTGAATCAAGACAGTGGCACCAAACTGCACCAGTAATCATTGTATTCTTCACCACAAGTTCAAAAAGGGACAATTTAAATTAAGACTGTGCTTCACAAAGCAGCATAAATTCATTTTATTGAAATTCAACCCTTGACTCTTTTTAATACTTTGTGGGGTAAAATATGAAGCATGCGTACATAAAGTCCTGCTGCATACCAAGATGTGATGGCTATCTCCAGGAAAAGTTTAGAGTTAAAAGCTAAACCAACCACTCTTCAAGGAACACCATTTTTACTTGAAAGAACAATTGTCAAACTGGTTATTCAGACTTCGCTTTTTGGCAGATTTTGTCAAATGAACAAAGGGAATCTATCACTTAAAGAAAAACTGACAGTATTTGATACCAATGATAATTATGAGTCAAACTTTCAAATGAAAATTGGATTTTGAAAGACTTACATCCACAAGTATGAGCTTGACAACTCTTCAATACTTAGAATTTTCAGAGACATTTCTGACAAGATCAGTTGTAATTTAATGAAATGTGATATTTTGATATTGTGTAATGAAACGTATCCATATTTAAAAGATGTGCATAACTCAGTAAACCAACATTTTCTAAGTGGCCATGGCATCATGTTATAAAACCATGCATGGGTAAAAGAGCCTTTCAAAGTGCAAGATGGGCTAATGGATTTTAATGTAACAATGAATGAAATGCTCATTGATAGGGTTTCAGATTCCACCTTGCAGCTGACATGAATCTTCCACTTGTTGAGCTTTGGTGTAGTGTCAAAAAACATCCACAATTATCTGAAAAACGCTCCTCTGTTTCTGACTACCTATCATTGCAGCTGTATTTTCTCCATACACTTCGACTAAAATAACATACCCCAAAAGACTGAATGTAGAAGGCAACAAAAGAAACCAGCCTTTCTTCTAATAAACCAGGATTTAAAGAGATTTGCAGAAATTTAAACAAAAGTCCTTCTTCCTAATGCTTTTATCCACGACAACATTCAATTCTGATTTTATTTGTCCTTGCTGTAATATTGCCAACTTAAATGGCCTCTCTTCTTCATCTATCCAAACTCTACCACAATTCTCATTTTCTTCCAATATTGTTGTCTATTCTCTTAAGTCCTGCTTTATTTATAGTCACACTTTGGCTTTCGGTCCATAAAATACATGTTTCAAGAATTTCAGTTTTCTCACTTATCTTCAGGCCCTCTTTAAAGCCGTATTTTGTTTGGTTTACATCCTCTTACAATTCACACCACTTCTGTACCGTAAATGTTTATTAATTTATAACTGCCAAGATAGTCTCACGTAACTTTCATACATTACATGCTTATTTATTTTTTTCTAAACAAACTAAATCTGATGGACTGGAAAAGCCAGGGGGCTCTCCAAATACAGGACTGGGTGGCTGCAGAGACCACAGTCAACCTTTAGGGTTTCATTTCCTCCAAGAGAGGACTAACATGTTCCAGGGTAAAGGCAGTGTTTTTATCTGTGACAGTGATGGCAGTAACAAGAGGATCCTTTTCTTAAATTTTCACACCATTCTTTTCTTTTATTTTCTTTTTTTAGTCTCTACTGCAAAAATCTACTAGAACATACTACATAGGTACCAGACACCAACTGGATCTGACAATTAAAGTAAAACCAAACAAGCCTGATTTCCAGAACTGGAGGTTTTTGTTTTGCAATGCAAAAAGGTCAAAATACGTGAGAACAGAAAGTAACTACAGCCTCGGACGATGAGAAAAGAGAAGATTTGAGAAGGTAGAGAAGTTATGAAAGGAAATAAATTGAACTCCCAAATAAACCAAAGGGTTTTAATATGAACAGGGAAGTAATAGCCAGGCCACTCTGAGACATTTCTATCTACACTTTGCTCACTGAATATGCAGAAATAAGATCGTTGGAAAAGAAAGCACCTGAGGTCAGACAGGTAGTAGTATATACTCCGATACTGGTAATAAAGAGGGCTACAGCTCCGCCCTCCACAGGTATCTACACCAATCAAAAAAAGATTAGAAGAGAATGTGACACCTGGAAGTCAGAACGAGCAACTCACGTCATCAAGGCAGAATCACACAATGGGCACAGAGGTTGGAGACTCACTAGCCCCAAGGGTAGGGAAAATGAGGGAAAAAACATACAGAGAAGGTGACAAGTAAACAACGCCAGCGCCTACTTAACTTGCAAAGATCCAGCGCTGCCGCCCCACACCGTGTGACAATGTTTTACAGGGGACGAAAGGCCACCACATACTTCTCAACCCCGAGGGTCTCTTCCGCCCCCAAACCCCACCGGCCCCATTGCCCAAGTCAGCGATGACGGCAAGAGCTTCCAAAAAGGACCCTGCAACCCTAGACGTCATCGGTGAAATGACAGCAAAAGAGACCGGAAATCGACACCCCCCTGCCCCCGCCGCCCGCCCAAGCCCCCAACACTAAGGAGCCCTCCACAGTCCAAGCTAAAAGCGGGGCGGGGCGAAGAGGGTCTCCGGGGCCCGGAGAGGCCAACTGCAGGGCCTGCCCCTCCCTTCCTCCCCCAGTCCAAACATGGGGAAAACTCCAAGCGCCTCCCCTACCAGTAGTAAGAGGCCGAATATGCACCAGCCGATCACCAGCTCCGCCGAGGCCGCGCCAGAAGTCGCCATCTTCGCTTCCGGTCCAGACCAACCTGAGCGCCCGGGGTGGGGAAAGGGGAGGGGGAAAGGGGAGAGAGCGCGAGATATACTGCACCCGCGCACCCTAAAGGTTAAAGGGGCGGAGGGGGAGGAGCAAGTGGTTGCCAAGGAGACTGGACCCACTAGCGTCCCCTGGCGGCGAGCCGAGCGGGGGCGGGGCAGCAAGGACTGCTCAGGGGCGGGGCGCGTGCGGACGCAGTGACATCACCACGCTGCCCTCGCTGGCTTCCCTGCAAGCTGAGATGTGGGAGGGCTGCAGAGCAGGGTGTTGGCTCATAGCTGGGCAACCTATTGAGATATTTGACTCAGCCTAAGTTGATAGACTAGAACAGCAAGGGAACTCCACAAAGAATGGGCTAGGTGGACCTGGAGATCCAAGTCAATTTTAGAGGTTTATACTTCTTCACCAAAAGGAAGTTTGGCCCTCGTGTACAAGGTGGAATGTGTGTGATTAGCAGAACTCCTTACCAGGTTGCAAGAATGGCTGATGTCAGGCCTCTGAGCCCAAGCTAAGCCATCATATCCCCAGTGACCTTCACGTATACATCCAGCTGGCCTGAAGCAACTGAAGATCCACAGAAGTGAAAATAGCTTAGCTGATGACATTCCACCATTGTGATTTGTTTCTGCCCCACCCTAACTGATCAATGTTCTTTATAATCTCCCCCACCCTTAAGAAGTTTCTTTGTAATTCTCCCCACCCTTGAGAATGTACTTTGTGAGATCTACCCCCTACCCCCAAAACATTGCTCTTCACTCCACCTCCTATCCGAAAAACTGTAAGAACCAATGATAATCCCACCACCCTTTGCCGACTCTCTTTTCGGACTCAGCCCGCCTGCACCCATGTGAAATAAACAGCCATGTTGCTCACACAAAGCCTGTTTGGTGGTCTCTTCACACGGACGCATGAGACAGCTGACTCTGAATAAAAGTTGACTAGCTGCCCAAATCACTCTAATTTACTGGCACTGGTGCCCAGCCGGGATAACTGGTTGGCTGGACATGAACTTATCACATGATGTTATAGCCTTTCTATTCAGATGTATGCATGCCTGTGAATTTCCATGATAGCTTTGTATGTAAAGGTATATGCATCAGCAAACAAAACACACTGCCATAGGCCCACAATGAAGAAGAAGGAGGAAACTCTTGGGATGGCTTACCTGAGTCCACAGGGAGGAAACTCTTGGGATGGCTTACCTGAGTCCACAGGGGTGTGAGTGCATGTTTCACCACTGTGATGTAGTCAAGAAACAACTCTGAGAAAAAATACCATCATCTTTTTCCAATGTATTATGTGGTGATGAGTTATGCTCTACCTATAATCTACTTCCGGCTGGAAGCCTGAGGGAAAAAATAGGATGGTCCTTCCTGCCTGGACAGAATAAGAAGGGAATAGGGGAGAATACAGTTTTAACTTGAACTGGTACCATCATAAGCTGGCTTTAAGCCCTCTAGACCTGCAAATGTTTGAATTTCACTCTTTCTTCCTAATAATTCATATCCCTGGAGACCTCTGTCATAGCTTCCTTAAAGTGAAGAGAGGTATCGCTTCCAGGTTGATATCTCTATTCCAGATTGTATAGAGCACCCTTGACATAAGTAACTACTTCTTAGAAAAAGATTCTGTTTACATTTCAAAAGGAATCATGCCAAAAGGGACCAGATGTTCACCTAATCAATAGAGACTGCACCCAACCAGATAACGACATAACCAGGCACACTCTTTTATTATTATTATTATTATTATTATTATTATTATTATACTTTAAGTTCTAGGGTACATGTGCACAACGTGCAGATTTGTTACATATGCATACATGTGCCATGTTGAGGTGCTGCACCCATTAACTAGTCTTACATCAGGTATATCTCCTAATGCTATCCCTCCCCACTTTCCCCCACCCTACAACAGGGCCCAGTGTGTGATGTTCCCCTTCCTGTGTCCAAGTGTTCTCATTGTTCAATTCCCACCTATGAGTGAGAACATGTGGTGTTTGGTTTTCTGTCCTTGCAATAGTTTGCTGAGAATGATGTTTTCCAGCTTCATCCATGTCCCTACAAAGAACATGAACTCATCCTTTTTTATGGCTGCATAGTATTCCATGGTGTATATGTGCCACATTTTCTTAATCCAGTCTATCACTGATGGACATTTCAGTTGGTTCCAAGTATTTGCTATTGCAGGCACACTCTTTACTATCAGTCAACACCAGAGGACTCTGAGGCTATAAAAAGAGTAGAACTTCAACAGCTCAAGATAGCCATCTTAACAGACACTGTCTTACTGTCACTCATGATCAGCATCTAGCATCTGCCACCAAAGGTTCTGCTCAAATCAAAGACTCTTCCTTGCAAAATGTTGATATGCATCCTGATCAGCCGAGGACACTCTCCTTGTCCATGTTGCTCTCCTTGGATTGGTTAATCCTGTTTTCCTAACCTTTCTCTTGATGTTAAATGTTATTTTCTTTTAGAATGTTTAGCCTATAATATTTATATGTTATGTATACTACTATGTTTGGTTTGCAATATTGACTGACTTGTGGAGTGGCTAGAGCTTTGTGTCCTTGGTTCTGACTACCAAATGAATGGGTACTACTAAGGAAAATTACCTCCTTCGGACCTTCATACAGCTCATGGCTTTTATGATTGAAATAGCATCAACAAAAGTCTGACTGTGGAAAGACACAAACTTGCAGGGACTTGAGCCACTGACAGGTAGTCACTTATATCTCCTCCACAAGCCCCAGAGCATACTGAGGTATACTTAATTATTCCTTTTCCTGCTGAGGTCTTGTAATCTTCTTCTAGAAGCTCATTTAAGTTGGAGGAGAGGCCTAAGACAACCCCAAGCCAGTTCTTCCCCTTTCCCCAAATAGTCTAAATCCCCTCTGTAGGAATGATGATACATACCTTGCACCAACAACTTTGGGAGCACAGGCCAATCCCAATGTAGCTCCATTCTCCTAGTTCTACAATCAAAGGAATCAGCCCTTTTTGATTATACCCAAGAAAGTCAGCCCCTGATGCTACAGTCCACTGTAGTTCTCTCTACTGGGTCAGACACTAGCCCTCTGTGTCCTCAATTTCAGGGGCCATATTTCAAATTCTCCAAGTAGCTCCCTTGAGGCCTCCCTTACTAGGCTAAGGGTTAGAAGGTAACACCCCACTCCAACCCACCCACCCCTCCACCTCACCCACAAATACACCACTCTTTGGAGTTAAGGATGGAATTCCACAGGTCAGCAACAGTTCTCATTAAATAAATCTGTTTATGAATCTTCTCCTCTTGCTAATACATTTGTAGAAATTTTATTTGTCTGAGGGGTCTAAGAGTTATATAATAAATTCTTGAATCCCTTTTTAATTATGCATATAAGGGAGAATTCATAGTTAGAATGCAGACAAGTAAAAATAAAAATCTGACCCTCCTCCATGGAAGCCCTGGGGCCTCCGTTTTTTCTGGGGACCAGGATCCAGGTCTCCTGCTCACCTGGAGGTAAGAAAGGGAGCCCAGAGTCAGGACCCAGTGAGAGGGTTCTGGAGCTGAAAGGAAAAAGACTCCCCTAAGGATCTTGAGGACAGTCAAAATTTGCTGAAATGTCCCATTTCTGGAGAACCCTACCATCTCCATGACTGCAAGCCCATGTTAGCCTGCTGGAGAATGAGATACCATGGGGAGGAGAGCCAAACTGCTCCAGTTGACAGCCAACTCACACTCAGAAGCAGAGCCGCCTAGTCAACAGCAGCTGATCACATATGCCTGAAGGAGCCCACCTGAGCCCACAAGAATGGCCCAGTTGAGCCCTGCCCAAATGGCTGAGCAACTCCATCATGAGCTAGGAAGTCTTGCATGGTTTGTTATACAATAGCTAAGTAATATATGTACCCAGTATGAATGGGATGTCAGGATTCAATGACAGGTTGATTACTAGTTACCTGCAAACAGAAAGCACCCGACAGGTACAGATTTCATTTTCCCCTTATTTAAAGTTGGATCTCTTGTTAGATGGTGGTGAGTTATACCAAAATGCATGTAGATGTGTGCATGTGATTGGTGCTTAAATTACGCAGTCCGCCATGCCACAGGAGGAAACAGCCATGGCCTGACCATTAGGGCCAAGGCCAAATAGCAAATAGCAAAATAAGAAGTTCACCTTTAATCTATTTCCTCCATACCTAAACTTTGGAGATCAAGGATGTAGACAGATCTGAAGACATTGAGTTTCCTTTTTGAGGGGCCTTATCATCCTTTGTTTACTGTCTGATCTCTGGAAGGAAGATGGACGCCAGGTGGGCAGCAGTGGTAACTGTGGACACTTTCTTCTTGTAAACCCTGCTTTCTAGGGGCAAAAATCTCTCACCCTTGGGCCTGAGGAGAGTTGTTGGGAGGCAGAGGCTGTTCCCTCACTTCTGGCAGGAAAGAGTGTTTCAGGCCCTTCACCTTCCTTAGATCAAGAGAGTCAGAGCCCTCAGAGCTGCACTTCAGTGTGGCAGCCACTAGCCACGTGGGGCTGCTGAGCACATGGAATAGGCTGCTCTGAACTGACATGTGCTGAAAACTTAACATATAGACAGAGTTGCCAAGATTTAGTGCCAAAAGCTATATACTTCATTAACAATTATATATTGATTACATATTAAAATGATAATATTTGGGATATATTGGGTCACATAAATTATTATGATAAAAAATCTTCCCCACTGCTTTAAATTATATGTGAAATTGGAGCTTTTACTGAATCTGGACTAAATATTTTTAACATCTGATGTGCCCTCCATTGAATTAAGTCCATTAAATAAACTGGCCGAACCCTTTTGCTGCCTCTGACTGCCAAAGTTGTATTGGGCAGTTGCTTGACTTTCAGTTCGGAAAAGCCTCATATTTCTGTGTTGTTGACAAGAGTGACTAGTTACAGAGGAATAGTAATTTGAATCAGAAAGATGAGTAGAGTGAGAAGAAAAAGTCATTTTGGGGGGTAGGTATAGGCATGCATATCAACATTCTCTTTATTCTTAAGTCTAGTCATTTAACATATAAATCAGATCAGCAAGGACTGAACACATTCTCTTGAATGATGTTTTTAAATCTAAGAAGCCTCTGAATCAGACCAGAGTTTTTTTAAAATAATATTTTTATTTGCTGTTTACAATTACAAAGGGAATACATGCTCATTTATAAATATTTCAATTTGAATAATTTAGAAACAAAAATCACTCTTATAAATTTACACAATCCTTCCTACCCTAAAATACTTCCCTTTAAGAGCTTCTGGGGCTTTTTGTATGCACATTCTGATGTGTTCAGTGAGAATGTAGAAAACTAATACCCCTTTCCTGTTCGCCGGTAGTTACTGTAGAATGCACTTACTTAACCCCTCACCCAACAACTCATGGAAAGATACCAGGATTTCTGTGGACTCTGTTCCATTTTAAGTTCAAAGAAATGGTCAAAAAAGCTAGTCAACCCCAAGAGGTTTATTAAGAGAAGGTATCTGTCATGCCAGACCCCTATTGACTTCAGTAGCAATGGCACTATGTTCAAGAGGCCTAAGAGCAGACCCAGAGCCAGCAAAAAAGACATAGGGTTTACTGAGAAACTTACATATAAGGAGAACATATAGGAGAAACACTACCATTTGTAAAAAGTATGCAGTTTATACAGCATTTTCACTTAGCACTCTCCCCCTAACAACACGGGGCAACCTTCATTTAACCCAAAACAAAGGGCTTTAATCCCCTGTATGGCCTGTGTTCATGGGAATGGGCCGGGAGTTCAGATATTCCTCGTACATAAGGAATGAATCCCTGGGTTGGCCACTTCTAGACTCCTTAGCTTGTAATTCTGAACATACATTCTTCTTAGACCATAGGGTCTTTCTCAGAGTATGCACAAGTTAAGTTATTGCTGTCAGGTGCGTCTGCCATAGAACATTCCAGAAAAACTTCTATCAAAACTAGACTCCCTTGGCTATATTAAGAGAGCTAGTAGCCTTTGAAGAAAAGCAAAGTTTATGAAGGAGCAACTATTTCTGCCCTCATTTCTCCAACCCTCAGCTTTTGAATGGTTTCTGTACCCTAGAGCCAGTTGAAGGAAGACACAGAATTTGAAGGGAGAGTGTGACCTGAGTTTTGGGAGAGGCCCTGCCTCTTGTAACTGCTGCAGGTGACTAGCACACAGAAATTCCCAGTATCTTGGTGAAGAAAGGGTATGGACTAGCTCCTCCCCATATTCTCACCACACGCACGCACACACACACACACACACACACCCATTGAACTCACTGAATGCTTTGGAGGATTGCCCCTGAGAATCACCCTATTCATGTGCTTATTCCTGTGGAAGCTGCGGAGAGATGGAACATCCTCTGCTGGGGGAGGCACACATGGAAAGCTGGGGAGCAGCCCCGAGGGGGGAACAAAACCAGGCAATGATTGCCTACAGAAAGGTCATTTTCAAGCCAAAACCAGGCAAAGATAAAACCAAAAAAATAAGACTACCGTGAACATAAATGCCAAAACTATTAAGAAAAGTGTTCATGAAGTAGGGACAATCCTCCACTGATCTTTACCCTCCATGGCATTCAATGAGTGCCCCTCCTGGAACTGGGGGATTGGGGGTGAGTTTGAGGGCCAGGAGGTATAACAGTGGTGTCTCATTCCCTTTATGAGGTGGTTTTAGAAAACCAAAGACAGAGCAGGGCGCGGTGGCTCACACCTGTAATCCTAGCACTTTGGGAGGCCGAGGAAGGCGGATCATGAGGTCAGGAGATGGAGACCATCCTGGCTAACATGGTGAAACCCTGTCTTTACTAAAAATACAAAAACTTAGCTGGGCGTGGTGGTGGGTGCCTGTAGTCCCAGCTACTCAGGAGGCTGAAGCAAGAGAATGGCATGAACCTGGGAGGAGGAGGTTGCAGTGAGCCGAGATAGCGCCACTGCACTCCAGCCTGGGTGACAGAGCCAGACTCCATCTCAAAAAACAAGCAAACGAAAACCAAAGATAGGATTGTGATCAAGTGGCATAAACTGGGAGACAAAATTTATAAAAATAATCTTACATAGGAATTGGTAGAAAGAACAAAAAGAATACTGAAAGTATTAACAGGAAAGAAGAACAGCATGGCAGAATAAATTTATTTTAACAAGACAAAAAAGAGATAAAAAGAATCAGGAAAGAGACTGTTTTCTTATCAAAACCCCAAAACCAAGAAGTAGTACATAGAGACTTAACTAGGGCTTCAACTGTAGAATAGAAGGGTGGGTGACTCAAGCCTACTTCGGGGTCTGCAATCCAAAAGAGCCCTACAGAAATGACTTCCCAACTTAGCTCCTGAAAGTGGAGTCAAGCTAACTGCATAATGGGGACTAGACTAGGGATATAGTTT
Organism: Homo sapiens; assembly: GCF_000001405.40. Classification (NCBI taxonomy): domain Eukaryota; kingdom Metazoa; phylum Chordata; class Mammalia; order Primates; family Hominidae; genus Homo; species Homo sapiens. Next base: position 69,804,306 of record NC_000006.12, read on the forward strand.
GTAATCTGAAATTATTTAATATATTTAGACCACAGTTTAACTATGCATCCAAATTCATTATGTGTGTTGTACCATTGGATGTTAACATGTTGATGTTTTAAAAACATAGCTGATGATTATATACCAAATTTTTAAAATTTGTTACCTGAAAACATTGAACTATTGAAGTCCAAATAAAACTCTTGGAAAACCTTAAAATTTCTCTTTCCAACTGTCATTTTTTTCTGTGCTTCCATTTCTAACCAATAAGCCTCCTGATTGACAAGTTTCTTCCTTAGTGATTTTAATTCCTTTAGTCTGGCTATAGTTAAACATTACTGGCCTCAGATCCTAGTGACTTTGTGCAAGTCTGTCATGATCCATAAGGTGTTGATTTAGAATTTAGCGTTCTGCTGTGTTCTATATAGTGCCTATACTTGATCTGTCAAAAGGATTTAGCAATGATCCAAGGTGAACATTAATGTGGTGCTGAGGATGTTTGAGCACACCTGCCTTCTCTTCTCAATACTACATGATCTCCTTTTCCCTCCTAATCCTTCCATGTCATCTAACCAAATAAACCATCACAACCCTAAGACATTTCTTCTTTTGTGATAAGGTTTTTTGTGTTTATAAGGTCATGGGAATGTATGGTTGAGAGACACATTTCGTTCGGCTAGAAATTTGCTCATTTATATATAATCCCGTAGAAAGCCAAAAGTTTTGCACAAGTGCCAATCTATGAAAAATTAAATAGTTATGGTCTACGTTTTGTTATTCAAAATAAAAATAGCTTTTTTGAGGCCCAACATATAAAGGATATTCAAAAACCTACTTCTGGTTCATGCCTGTAATCCCAGCACTTTGGGAGGCCAAGGCAGGTGGATCGCCTGAGGTCAGGAGTTCGAGACCAGCCTAGCCAACATGGTGAAACCCCATCTCTACTAAAAATACAAAAATTAGCTTGGCACGGTGGCTCATGCCTGTAGTCCCAGCTACTTGGGAGGCTCAGGCATGAGAATCGCTTGAATTCGGGAGACAGAGGTTGTAGTGACCCAGTGACCCAAGATGACACTACTGCACTCCAGCCTGGGCAACAGAGTGAGACTAGTTCTCAAAATAAATAAATAAATAAATAAACAAAACAAAACAAAAAAAACCTAGTTCATCGATTTCATTGAATAGAAAAAAAAATGCCAGGGAGAAGAAGAAGAATGCCACTGAAATGTTAATATCTCGGTGTTTTATTTGTGAACACAGAGACAACTTTCCAATTTACTATCTTAAAATTAGATTGCACACAGTATCATAATGTGAATTGTAAACTTTACATTTCCATATTTCTATAAGCTCTCAATGGCTACTGTTTATAAACTTTTCTTCTCCTGATAAAACAAACATTTCCATGTACACTAATAAATGTTCACTTTTTCTTTTCTTTTTTTTTTCTTTTTGAGTCGGAGTCTCACTCTGCCGCCAGGCTGGAGTGCAGTGGTGCCATCTCGGCTCACTGCAAGCTCCGCCTCCCGGGTTCACGCCATTCTTCTGCCTCAGCCTCCCGAGTAGCTGGGACTACAGGCACCGCCACCACGCCCGGCTAATTTTTTTTTTTTTTTCATTTTTTTAGTAGAGACGGGGTTTCACCGTGTTAGCCAGGGTGGTCTCAAGCTCCTGACCTCGTGATCTGCCCGCCTCGGCCCCCCAAAGTGCTGGGATTACAGGCATGAGTCACTGCGCCCGGCCTAAATGTTCACTTTTTCTTAAGATTTTTCTTCTGCATAAGAAAAAAATAATTTATTCATAATTTAGACGCATGGAATACCTCTAAGTATTTTTTATTGTGTCAATTCCTAAACCTGGTGTGTATTTCAAGGTATACAAATAAATTTGCATATACTACTCAACCATAAGTTGATGTCAAAGTCAGTTAACAATATGAGTAGAAGTTATAATAACTGCTTTTTATTTATGACACTTAAAAATATCTATAGCACACTCAATAGTTTTAACAAAAAATGCTCCTTTTTTTGTAGCATGTGTTGCTCTTTTTTCAAACAATAGGATCCCTCTCCTGACTCAAGCATATATTCTTTTTCATAGCATGATTCTGTTTGTTTTATTTCTAGGCAGATTTTTTCAGCTTATATTTGAATTCAAAGTGTAACCGTTAGTATTCAATTCCCATATGTTAATGACTTATAGTCATAACATTTTATAAAAACAATTGGTCTTATTAGAATTTATGAGACTACAGTAAGTCATTTCTAGATAACTATTTGTGTAACACTATGTGAAATAATTTAAAATTGATCTTTAAAATTTTAAACAATTGATAGACTAGAATCATTTATCTTTACATTATCATTTGCTGCCAAATACATTCTGTAATTTATTGTTTCATGTAATCTTTATTACATTGTTTTTAATGTAATAAAGATATAAAGTAGGGAATTTAAACTGGTATATCTGAATCCTGTTTTAAAAATATTCTAAATTAAAATTATTGTATTAGTTCATTTTCATGCTGCTGATAAAGACATACCTGAGACTGGGAAGAAAAGGAGGTTTAATTTGACTTACAGTTCCACATGGCTGGGGACGTCTCACAATCATTGCAGAGGGCAAAAGGCACTTCTTACATGGTGGCAGCAAGAGATAATGAAGAAGAAGCAAAAACAGCAACCCCTGCTAAACCCATCAGATCTTGTGAGACTTTTTCACTATCATGAGAATAGCACAGGAAAGACCAGTCCCCATGATTCACTGACCTCCCACTGGGTCCCTCCCACAACATGTGGGAATTCTGGGAGATATAATTTAAGTTGAGATTTGGGTGGGGACACAGCCAAACCATATTATTCTGCCCCTGGTCCCTCTCAGATCTCATGTCCTCACATTTCAAAACCAATCTTGCCTTCCTAACAGTCCCCAAAAGTCTTAAATGATTTCAGCATTAACTCAGAAGTTCACAGTCCAACATCTCATCTGAGGCAAGGCAAGCTCCTTCTGCCTATGAGCCTACAAAATCAAAAGCAAGTTAGTTACTTCCTAGATAAAAGGGGATGCAGGCATTGGGTATATACAGCCATTCCAAATAGGAGAAATCAGCCAAAATGAAGGGGCTACAGGCCCCATGCAAATCCAAAATCCAGCAGGGCAGTCAAATCTTAAAGCTCCAAAATAATCTCCTTTGACTCCATGTCTCACATGCAGGTCACATTGATGCAAGAAGTTGGTTCCCATGGTCTTGGGCACCTCCGTCCCTGTGGCTTTGCAGGGTACAGCCTTTCTCCCAGCTGCTTTCATGGGCTAGCATTGAGTGTCTGCAGCTTTTCCAGGCACACAGTGCAAGCTATGGGTGGATCCACCATTCTGGGGTCTGGAGGATGGTGGCCCCTTCTCACAGCTCCACTAGGCAGTGCCCCAGTAGGGCTCTGCGTGAGGGCTCTGATATCACATTTCCCTTCCGCATTCCCCTAGCAGAGGTTCTCCATGAGAGCCCCAGCCCTGCAGCAAACTTTTGCCTGGACATCCAGGTATTTCCATACATCTTCTGAAATCCAGGCAGAGGTTCCCAAACCTCAATTCTTGACTTCTGTGCACCTGCAGGCTCAACACCACATGGAAGCTACCAAGGCTTGGGGCTTCCACCCTCTGAAGCCACTGCCAGAGCTCTACCTTGGCCCCTTTTAGTCACAGCTGGAGCGGCTGGGACACAAGATACCAAGTCCCTAGGGTGCAAACAGCACATGGACACTGGTCCCGGCCCATGAAACCATTTTTCATCCTATGCCTCTGGGCCTGTGATGAGAGGGGCTGCTGCGAAGACCTCTGACATTCCCTGGAGACATTGTATACATTGTCTTTGGAATTAACAATCGGCTTCTTGTTATTTATGGAAATTTCTGCAGCTGGCTTAAATTTTTCCTCAGAAAATGGGATTTTCTTTTCTATTGCATGGTCAGGCTGCAAATTTTCCAAATTTTTATGCTCTGCTTCCCTTATAAAACTGAATGTCCTAAGCACCCAAGTCACCTCTTGAATGCTTTGCTGCTTAGAAATTTATTCCACCAGATACCCTAAATCATCTCTCTCAAATTCAAAGTTCCACAAATCTCTAGGGCAGGGGCAAAATGCCACCAGTCTCTTTGCTAAAACATAGCAAGAGTCACCTTTACTCCATTTCTCAACAAGTTCCTCATTTCCATCTGAGACTACCTCAGCCTGGACTTTGTTGTCCTTATTGCTATCAACATTTTGGCCAAAGCCATTCAACAAGTCTCTAGGACGTTCCAAACTTTCCCATATTTTCCTGTCTTTTTCTGAGCCCTCCAAACTGTTTCAGCCTCTGTTACCCAGTTCCAAAGTCGCTTCCACATTTTTGGGTAAATTTTCAGCAGCGCCCCACTCTACTGGTTCCAATTCACCCTATTAGTCCATTTTCATGCTGCTGACAAAGACATACCTGAGACTGGGAAGAAAAGGAGGTTTAATTGTCCTTACAGTTCCACATGGCTGGGGAGGTCTCACAATCATGGCAGAGAGTGAAAAGCACTTCTTACATAGTGACAGCAAGACAGAATGAGGAAGAAGCAAAAGCGGAAACCCCTGATAAACCCATCAGATCTCGTGAGACTTATTCACTATCACAAGAATAGTATGGGAAAGACAGGCCCCCATGATTCAATTACCTCCAACTGGGTCCCTCCCACAATATGTGGGAATTGTGGGAGATACAATTCAAGTTGAGATTTGGGTAGGGACACAGCCAAACCGTATCAAATATGAAATATATTCATGAGTTAAGAAAAGCTTTTAGAAGGAAGTATCATCATGGTAGCGTTTTTTGTTTGTGTTTATTTTTTCATCTTAAAAACATTTTTACTTGACATGTATTACTTGTACTTATTTATGGGATACAGAGTGATATTTTGATACATGTATGCAATGTGTAATGATCAAATCAGGGTAGTTAGCATATTCATCACCTCAAACATTTATCATTTCTTTGTGTTGTGAACATTCAAAATCCTTTCTTCTGGCTTTTTGAAAATATACACTACATTTTTGTTAACTATATTCACCCATTAGGTTTTAAAGGAAGAAAAAGAGTTTATCAAACAGACTAGGAGAAGAGTAAGCAAACATCTCATTAAGGCAACAACAAGTGCAAAGGCACAGGAGTCTGAAATACCATGTTAAGTATTACTTGAGTGATCAGTAACTCAAGTGGCAGCAATTGGCCACTTAGATACTAGATCACAAAGGGATGTATGTGCTCCACTAAGAAACTTAGGCTTCATCCTGTAGACAATAAGAGCCAGTGAAGTGTTTTAAGCAGAGAAGAGAAATAATCAGACTTGCATTTTATAACTGTCTCTTTAAGATAAACTGAATGCTGAATAGGAAGTGGGAAAATGAAGTAAGGGTTCATTTCAGCTACAATCAAGACAAGAGATGATGAAAGCTAAACCAAGGTTATCGATATGAAAGAAGATACATTTATGAGATGGCAATAAGATTAATTTTCAAGACATGCTGTCCAGGTATGGAGAATGAAAGAAAGAGGAAGGAGGTAGAATACTGTCAGGGTTCCATCAAATAAACTAAACCAGTAGGAGAGAGAGAGAGAGCACATGCGTGTGAGAGAGAAAGCGAGCAAAGAATTGACTTGTGCAATTGTGGGGGCTCCTTAGGCAAGTTAGAAATTAATAGAGGAGGGCATCAGGAAGAGCAGACTGGAAACTCTCAGGCAGGAGCTGACACTGACAGTCATTGGTAAAATTTCTTCTTTCTGAGGGAAATTGCAATCTGCCATAAGTCCCTTCAATTGATTGACTCTGACCCACGGGATCATTGAGAATAATTTTATTTACAGTTGGCCCTTGAACAACACAGATTTGAACTGTGCAATTCTACTTATGTGCAGATTTTCTCCTGCCTCTACCAACCCTGAGACAGCAAGACCAACCCCTCCTTTCTCTCCTCTTCAGCCCACTCAACATGATGACAGTTAGGATGAAGACCTTTTTGACAATCCATTTTCATTTAATTAATAGTAAATATATTTTCTCTTCCTTATGACTTTATTTTCTTTTTTATTTATTTATTTTTTTGTTTTGAGACAAAGTCTCACTCTGTCACCCAGGCTGGAGTGCAGTGGCACAACCTCGGCTAACTGCAACCTCTGCTTCCCGGGTTCAAGCGATTCTTCTGCCTCAGCCTTCTGAGTAGCTGGGATTACAGGCACCTTCCACTACGCCTGGCTAATTTTTGTATTTTTAATAGAGACGGGGTTTCTCCATGTTGGCCAGCCTGGTCCCGAACTCCTGACCTCAGGTTATCCGCCCACCTCGGCCTCCCAAAGTGCTGGGATTACAGGCATGAGCCACCATGCCCAACCATAATTTTCTTAATAATATTTTCTTTTCTCTAGTTTTCATTATTGGAAGAATGCAATATATAATAAATACAACATGCAAAATATATGTTAATCAACTATTTATGTTATTGGTAAGGATTCCAGTCAATAGAAGGCTATTACTAGTTAAGTTTTTGGAGAGTCAAAAGTTATAGGCAGATTTTCAAGTGCATGGGGATTCAGCATCCCTAACCCCTAACTTATTCAGGGGTCAACTGTACTTAGTCAACTGATTGTAGATATTTATCATGTCTACAAAATACCTTCACGGCAACACATAGCATTTGAATAGTTGATTATTATAGCCAAGCCGAGTTAACATTAGAGATGCTTTTCAGAATTGTAAATTGAGAGATGTGGAGAATGATGATGCCACTAATGAAGACAGGGAACATACGAAGAAGAGAAGATTAAGGGTGAGGAATGACAGAAATAAACTGTATTTCATAGATTCTAAGATGCACTTTTCTCCTTTACATTTTAACATCTCTGATGTTAGGACTCACCTTTAAATTGATGGGATCTTACCACTATAACTGGTATATTTTGTTCTTCATCATTTATAAAATGATGGTGCATCTTACAGTCAATGTCACCTTAGAGTGAAGGAAACAAGGTAGTAGATTTTATTTGGTACCTTGGATTTGAGGTGCCTGAGGAACACGGATAGCTCTAGTTCATAGAATGTATAGGCGGGAAACTCAGCCAAGGGACCTGCCACAGAGGTATGAGTCATCTATACTCAAGTAAAAGCTGAAGCAATGAAAATGCAAAAAATTCCCAGGAAAAATTGGTAGAAGTGAGAATAATAGTCAGCTAAATAGACAACCCTAAAAAAACAGCAAACTTTAAGGAGAGAATAAAAGGAAAAGAGTGGTTAGAACTAATAATCAGAATACATCATATAAACAAAGAGAGAAGATACTTTTTAAAACTAATGAGTAGCTGTCAATACCAAATATAGTGAGAGGACTAGCAAGTGCCCACCGAGTATGGCAACATGAGTGGGGGGGTCATTAACGAATTTTCTAGAATAATTCCACTGGAGTGGATAGGAAGCAGACAAGTTGCACTGGCTTAGAGGAATGAAGGAGAATTAGGAAAACGGAGGTCATGAATGTAAAATATTCTTTCAGGAAGCTTGACTAAAAAGGGGTGGAATAATGAAAAAGTTAAATAGAGAGGATAAGGTCAATGGTGATTTCTGCAGAAGTGACTCAGATTTGAACTCATTTCTAAGAAACGTAGAAAAGGCGTGGGCCACTCTTATGTTACTAAACCAAACAGGGGTCCCATTGCCCAGTGCAGTAAGGCCAAATATTCATACCGAGGTTGCTTTGCAGCAGGAGAAAGGAGGGCCTTTATTAGTAGGGTACCAAGCAAGGATAATTGGGCAGCTGAAATGTAAGACCCAAACTTCCAGATGGCTTGCAAGCAAGGGTGTTTAAAGGCAGAGGTAAATTTCAGGAAAGCAGAAGTTATAGGCAAAACTATAAATCAACACATAGAGGTGATACATTGGTTTGGCCTACAAAGGTGGAAGCAGAGTCAGGTGGGGCAGGGTGCTTCCAGGTCATAACTGGATTTCAAAGATTTTCTGACTTGCAATTGGTTAAAGAAGAGAAGCTTTGTTTAAAAATTTGGGATCAGAAGAAAGAAATATTAAGTCTGGCCTGTGGGCGTGACTTCCTCCATGCCCCTCAGGAAGAAATTTAAAGCAAGAGTTCAGTCCTCAATTACCTCTTATTTGAGGTCTACATGCCAGGGAATCCATTTGGTGGGGGTACCAGCTTCTAAGAAACAACTCAGGGACATATATTCTGATGTTCTCTTTAGTTTCTACAGGGTGAAACCGCCTTTGCAAAATTATAACTGAGGAAATTATGACAGTGACAGAAATCACACCTAACTGATTCCATCTGGCTCCTAATCTTTAAGCTGTCCTTCTTCATTCCTGAGGATAGGCCAAACTAATTTTGAGAAGGAATTCAGTTCATGGCTTGATTCTGAAACAAAATTGATAATAGACCTTTCCTGAAAAGACCCCTTCCTTGCCTGGGTACCAGTCTGCCTTTGCAGGACTAACAAATTAGCTACAAGATTAGAAATTACAGTTTAGGGGCATGCAGCCTCTGGCTCCAAGTTGCTGGGGATAACATCACTATTGCAAACCTAAGATCAGTGCTTGAGATATTTTGCAGAATCTGCACTGGATGGATCAGCAGACACCACCCAGACCAGTAATCTGGCTCAACCAGTTCTACCATCTCACCCAGATGAACAGAAAACAGCAAGAAAAAGTCAACTTCGACCCCCTATGGTTCCATCTCCAACCTGACCAATCAGCACTCCCCACTTCTCAAGCCCCTACCTGCCAAATTATCTTTAAAAACTCTGATCCTCAAATGCTCAAGGATATTTGATTTGAGTAATAATAAAACTCCAGTCTCCTGCACAGATGGCTCTGTGTGACTTAGTCGTTCTGCCTTGCAGTTCCCCTCTCTTCATAAATCGTCTCTGTCTAAGCAGTGGGCAAGGTGAATCCGTTGAGCAGTTACAAGGAAACCAAACATCTCAGAACTCTAATTCCCTTGGCTATAGTTTTAAGCTACTCTTGCCTTCTTGCTTATCAAGTTGCTCATTTACTTCTTAGGGCTAACCAGGTGTCTGGAAGTTCCCTTAAAGGAATTCAATATTTTTCTTTATTTCCATGTTTGGCAAGGGGAGCAGGCAGCAGCCCCCTAAGAAAGGTTCTTGCTTTGTCTCACTGAACACATGAATTTAAGTTTGATTATCAGATCATTTTTTTTTAACAACTTGAACTCCGAAGACATGAGGTAGTCAGAAAAAAAGGAGGAGTCAATCAGTCAGGATTCTGGCAAGAAACAGAGGGTAGTACATCTAAAAGTGTACTTTTAATCATCTAAAAGTGATTCAGAAGAAGAGTTCAATGATTGGACTATTTACAAAGATGTGAGCAGGAAAAAGGGAAGCTAACCCTAGAGTTGTCAAAACAGGAAATCATTACCACCACTGAAAGGTCACTCCCTGTCTCAGAAGGAGGTTACTGGAATCTGAAAAGACCTATACACTTAGGAAAGAGCTTTCTAGTAGCCATTGTCACCTACAGTCCCTCAAGAAGGGAGCCAGGGGATAAATACTCTGTTACTCTTTTTGAATGTACTTAACAGGAAAACAGAAGGCAAGGGAGCCTATTTATTGCAAACATAATGATCAGCCTCCTGGGGCACAGAGCAGAGTGGAGAAGGATGGAACGTGTATCTGGAGGAGCAAATGGAAGACACTCAGCAGAAGGGGAAAGACTTGTTTAAATAGAATAATACCAAGGAAAACAGGACTGCTGGTGAAGACAAAGAGGGCGTTTTTCACAGATACTTCATGTTCTAGCAATAGTGGAAAAACAATGCTATTTCAATTTTTGAGTAGTTAATGAGAAACTGATATTTCTAAATAAGAAAAGGCCGAATATCCTTGTTTTAATTAAAGTCTATTGTTCATTTTGTATTGTGCAAAATGAAGACAGCCAGTGATAGCTATAGTTCAAAAAAGATTCTAATTATTTGCAGAATAACTAAGTATATAATGTTTCAGCTTTATATTAAAATACAGCTTTCCTATTAAAAGGATGTTTCTAATTTTAAAAATATGAATAAATTGATGTTATAAAAAATACTGCTGGCTAGGTTTAGCCCTGAATAACAAGAAGGAACAATGTCAAAATTTGTATAGGCCTTTAGTATTTCCATTTAATTTTGAAATGAAGGTTTATTCATTTAAATTTTGGGTTGTTTTATTTTACTCTGTTATGTACTTAATCAAATATTGATAGACCAAATGACTTCAGTAATGTTGGCTCTGTATCTATTTCATTTTTTAGCATCACATATAGATAACCTTTTGCTGATACAGCTTAAGAATTGTACCAAATAAAAAGCCAATGCTATATCTACAAATGAGAACTTAGAAAAAAAAATCTAGCACCAATAAGATATCAAATTTTGACTTTTAAAATTACTTTTTCAATACATAAACATATGTCCACATGCATACTTTCTAGATGGATTGTCATTTCACAGAAGCCTTTTCTCATATTGAAATGGAATGCAGATTGGGTAGTTAAATTTGATAGTGAGAAATAAAAATAAAAAATTCTAAGCCCCCAACTGACTGAACGGACATCTCTCTTGGCCAAGGGGAATCGAGAGAAATCTTGGAAGCTGAATTTACAGTCATGACAGGATGGATGTTCAGACATGCCTCATTATAACCCCCTCCCTTGCTAACCACCATTAGGCTTTCTACTCTGAGGGCTAAACAGAAACTAGCCCTTTCAAAAGACTCCACACTGATAATGTTGATCACTAGCTTATCTTTCCTGGTACAGAACAAAGACAAGATGAAATCAATTGTTCTTTTACCCTTGCCTGAGATGTCTGCTTCCTCTATTCCCTTTTTCTTCACATGTTCACCTTATCTTATGTAAAATGTAGATTTATTAGGCACTAACTAAAAACCTTACAAGTATGTAATCATTAATTTCACTGCTACCTGCCCGCCCCTTTTCTTAAAGGAAAATATGTAAATACTAAACTTCCTGAGAACCTCTTTGGAAAACACAATCACAGAATGCATCTGTGACTTGCATTTTAACCAGGTGAACCCTCAGGCTGGCTCAATAAACATCAATGATCTGAGACTTATGCTTCAGTCACTCACTTTGATCTGTCAACGGAAAACTCTCAAGAAATTTCCTTTTTATATCTTTTAAGCAAACTCACACACACACACACACACACACACACACACACACACACACATACAGCTTTTTCTTTGCTAAGTCTGTATGTCAATTAACATCTGACCAGTACTAGAATAAGCTTAATTTTCAAGGGAAGATGGAGCTTCGTGAAAGATAGAGAGTTGTCCCATCATTTCTGATGATTACAACTCATCTTTCTTCAGGCCAGATTTTTTTTTTTTTCCTGATGTGCAAATACAAGTTTTCACAAGTTTCTTGAAAACCATTCAGTCTTTACCATTACCATGTACCCAAATCAATCATCTGTTTACTATTACCTAATTACCTTGTAACTTATACGTTTCTGGAGCTACCTGTAATCCAGTCTCATGGACTCACACTCAAAGAAACACCAGTTGGGCATAAAAATATAATTAGAAGCAAGGGAGATTTGATTCACGCCCATGAGAAATTACCAAAGGGTAATTAGAGTAATTATACTTCTTTTAAGTTCTCTTTAGACCTCACTCTCATATTCTCTCACATGTCTGCAGGGGCAGATTTACCATCATGTTAATGGAGCTTCAGCGCCAATGATCCACTTGCACAGGTGTTTTCCATGGTCCTGTGGAAAAAAAGGCCTAGCAATGTGTTCCCATGGACCTATGGTTTTTTTGTAAATTTTTGTAAGTAATGTATTTTTGCTTCAGTCTGTTGAGACCACTGTCTCTTTCCATTTTCACTTTCACATTTTGCCTCATATGAGTATCACTGGAGTGGCTGCAGGCATTCTGAGGCTCCAGCTCAGGTTAAGTAGGGTTAGGGATGCATTTAGTTTAGGTTGAGTGGGATGTATTTACATGGAGTTACTCTCATGTTTAGTTAAATTATTGCTAGGCATCCAGGTGTAGCAATGGCTTTCAGGAATATTCTTATTGCCCATGATTCCAATTTGATGTGCACTATGACACAAAGGCAAGACCAGAGGTCTATTTTTGAAAGTGTGGAGCCAAAATGAAGGCTATTTTCTAGATTTTGTGATGTCTGTGGTATTCGGCATCTGTTAAAATTTTCTAATCTGTTTTTCTCATTCTAAATTAAAGTTTACTTTTGAGTCTAACTTTGTATTCATAATTTTCCATTCTTTTTCTTGAGGAGGAGCCCCCACAAAGTTAAAAGCTTGTCTCCTGGATCCGCCTTGCAGATGAGAAAAAAATTCTCACTGCCCTCTCTCTGGTTCCTTCCCAGAAAACTTTCCTGACAGACAGACAGGCTGGCTTTTCACACTAAGCACCACTTCCTGCTTAACAGTGCCCCCATCACTGCTTCCGTCTTTCTGTTGCCTTTTCAAGTACACCTTTCTCACTCACGAATATCTTGCTAAGTATCTGGGTCTTCTTTTCCTAACTGCCTTCTTTTTGAGAAGTAGCTCTGTGTTTTGGAATTAAACATAAATAAAATCCTCCATCTCTTCCACAATTAGCCATTGTTTCTCTAACTTGAGCAATACATAAATTAGTCCTTTTTAAATGGGAAAACATTTTGGGGCAATCTAATGACAACTTATTTTCATGATGCTATTTAAATAAGTAAAAATGTAAAACAATGGATGAATGCCTTAATTTTATAGGCCTTATACAACTTTACAACAAATAAAAATTCAAGTGAAACTTAAAAAGAAGATAAAATCATGTTAATAACATTATTTTAATGTGATGCATAGTGGCATTTGGCTGAAAAAAAATCATTCAGTCCTGAGTTTAATAGTAGAAAGATGCAGACTCATGTCTGGTTTTATAATTAATCTCTTTTGACATTTTGATTTCAATAATGCAAATGTAGAAAATGTCTATTCCCATAAGTATATGGTACAAAATGGTATTAATAACTTCAAGTCTTTGTTTGCAAATTAAGTATAATCAGGCCTTATGCTTAACTAAATCTCTGCCAGTGAGCAATCCTGGAGTGCCAGTTTTATAGTGGAGTCATTTGATAATTGTATAAATGTTTGTTTTTACTTGGAGATAATATGAGTACTGGCACTATTGAAATATGTATTAAATGGGTATGTAATCTAATTATTGCTGGAACTGGAAATAGAACTATTTGTCATTGCATATTTTCTGCTAATGAAATATTAATTACAAAATGGGATGTACATGACAGTATTCTTAAAACCATTTGTTCACAATGTGAATACTGTATAACATTGGCTAACTAAAGAGATTCTTGTGAGGTTAGTAAGCCTGTATTATCATATGTCACAGGATCCATCAATTCTACCATGACATTTTTTTGTTCCAACCAAGGAACTACTTTCACACATTCAGTTTGTTACCTTACACTTACTCCATGCAAAAGAGACAGAAAATATAAACTGCAAGATAGTACTCAGTTATCAGGTACTTCAAATGAACCAGATGATTTAATATAGGCTCGTATTAATTTTGTAAAATTTTTGTGAAAATAAAAATGCAGAATAAAAAATTGACTTAGAGAATTCTCAACTATTGTTGTTTTGCTTTACTAAATAAGATAATTATAAAATGCTTCTTGAAATTTTAGCACTAAAATTATTACTATTGATTTAGTCTATTGTAATAGTTATGCTAAAATATTTTATAGGCTCCCAAAATAATTATTTACATATTTTTAATGTGTTATGTACATATAAAATCAGACTCTAGAAGAAAATACCTGAATAACCAAAAATTATAACACTAGGACTCACACAAAGCCACTCACATGAAACCACTCACCTGTGCTTCAGAAAGCTGAGGGTTTGTAATCTACAAGATAGAAGCCTAAAAGTGTCTGGGCATCACATTATAACTTATCTTGACAACCTCTGTACACATAGGTGTTATATTGCCAACAAAATTTTGTGATTGGTAGTTTGAATGTTGTTATAAGTCATTATAAATATTGACATTCATCTTTGTTTGGGCAGACATAGTTGCCAACTGCCTCTCATGTCCGCAGGCCCTTTGAACCCTGCTCATAACCCTTTGTTGCAGGGACTAGTGGAACACATTAGTGGCCATGTTATACCTGGTATGATTCTGGTTTCTTGGCCAGATGATAAAATTGGGGAAGAGGAGAACAGCCAGTCTGTAGACTGCAAAGTAGGAAACAAGGGGGTCAGGCCCAAGAGTTTTGCCCAAAATGACAATGAGTATAAACTGAATGCAAATTCATGAAGTTCTGAATTTTGAAAAAAGAGGGAGAGAAGTAGTTGGCCAGTTAGTAAACAGAGAAGGAGAAAGGTGTACAGAAAGAAGGTAATAGCAAATATCTGGCAATCGAACTAAGAAGGCAGAGGTTGTGAGTAATCAAAAATGAGAAAGGGAGAAATGCAAGCTCTGAATCCAAAAGAAGGAGGTAAGTGGATATTTAATCAAAGTAGCAAATAAGAGAAAGGATGAAAAAGTATATTTAGTGTAAGAATTGATAGAATTGATTGGCTCCTGAATGACTTTCTACATTCTGAAGTCCATGAAACCAGCCCTACAGAAGGAGATTCTTTTTTTTTTTTTTTTTTTTTTGCGGGGGGCCTGGTTTGGGGAAATTTCCTGACTCCCCAAGATGAATGAGCATGATTTCTGTTTTTCTGCTTTCCACATGGAGCCTTTTAATAAGCTCCACATGAGTTAAGATATTCTCAAGGAACTTCTGTCTTTGCAACAATAAAAGAGACCTAATTAATATAACCTTTTTAATAATTGCACAACACTGTACTCATTAGCTAGCATATGAATTTATGTGTTGTGTTAAAATGGTCCATTTAACTTATCGATTTCTACGACTTTAGCCTCTAGGCCTGGGGTTATGCATGTTATCCACATCTTCAGTGTAGAGACACAGGAAATTATCCGTAACTTTTCGTCAAATGAATGAATGAAACAGCCACTCTAAAAAACTACAAACACATGCACTAGTCTTTAATCATCCCTATTTACAGTGCTTCATTTGCATAAAATAGGGTGCTTAATATGGCAAATACATGACACACATACACACACACACACATATTTTAATAAGAGAAGTGACTGCTCCTTCTGCTAACTCAGAAATGCAAGACAGAAAGTTTCTCTCAAATAGCTATTTTTTCTATGAAGAATCATTCAGGGTCTCTCTCACTTACATAAAAGCAGGGAAAATAGACTCATTGGACCAATGCTATCCCCACTCTTCAGCCTCTTCTTTGCCCCTCAACTCCTCACCAAAGGTCTTGGTACACCAAAGGTGGTTACTGGGGAGGAGAATCCAAGGCCTTCTCCTAGAAAAAATGAATCAGTCCCTAAACCTTGTTCCCTGAGATACAAATTTGGGAAATTCAGCTATGTGGACCATCACAGTGATTTTAATTAGGCCTCATGGTTCAAGGAAAGCAAGAAACCTTTTAAATTAAGTCATTTGGGGAAAAGTACGTCCCTATACAAATAAATATGCCTAGGTTGGTCCTCAAGTTTTATGTGAGGATTTATTCTGACTTGATCTGGAAGGTGCCTCCTGACTCTGCCACAGTGGTTAGGCTTTAGATAATAAGAACTGAGCAAGGGAAAGTTAATTTAAAAGAAAGACCACCTTGCCTCCCAACATGGGGCACCATTATGATTTTGTGCATGGCCCTGAACCAGCAAGAGTTGCCCTGCAGCAATGGACAGGACTCTGAAGCTCCATCAAACCAGTCTCTCATGACAACACTTAGCAATAGCAGTAAGCAATGGAGTTGTGTACTGTACTCGCTCTCTAGCCCTGGCTCTCTGTGGCTAGAAGCATACTGATGCTTTCAGAATGAGTATGCCCTTGAGGTTATTGGATGGTTGGTGATACTAAAATTCTTGATAATAGACCACATTGGAGATTTCATAATTCATTTTAACATTAAAAGAGACACAACTACAGTGTACCCCAATGTTGTGGAGCAGTTCAGATATATTTCTTTGAACAATTTTTGTCTCTTTATATATATATTTTATTTTTTCTTTTCCCTACAATCTCTTCTGCTTTAGTCTTTTCAGTATGAACCTGTTTGTAACAGGGAATGTTATCTTTCTTGCTTTGGTGTGTTATCCAGCTTGTCACTCCCACATGTCCTGGGCCCAGGCCAGCCAGCAGCCTTGTTGCCCATTTCCCAGTGCTCCCTCCTCTACTGCCATATGCCCATCTGCTCTGTTTGCCTTTTCTGGGGGTGCCCCAGCTGACATTTTAAAAAATTCTCACAACCATATGCTTTCTCCCAGGCACACTTGCCTGACTTCCCTGCTTTGTCCAGTGGCCATAAAGGACAGACTGGAAGTCGCCAAATTCCAAATTCCAAGGCATTTTAGTCATTGCCTTTTGTTAGGAGCTATGTCCATCTATCCCATTATTAAACTTCAGAGCATGGCACAATGATATTTGTCTCTGTGATTATAATCCCCAAAGGTTAGTGCTCCACACCAAATATCTTGGTTTTCCTTAATAATACATGATAGATCCATGATATATTATTATTCTACATTTCAATCTTTTGGACAACCCAATTTTTTGCTAAAGTAAGAGCACTTACTACTTCTTAATAGCATAGTCTTTTACTATGGACTCCTAATTATTGATGTGGGTTTGAATTTGAATTTTAAGCAAATTTGCTTATGTGCTTGGGTCTATTTCTGTACTTACTTTTCTGTTGCATAGGTCTATCTATTCATATCAGCCAGTATCTCACTGGCTTTATGGGATATTGTATTGTTTGGAAATGCTAGTTCTCCCTTGTTATGGGTTGAATTATGTCTCCTCAAAATGTATAAGTTGAAGTCTTAATCCTCACTATCTCAGGAAAGTGACCTCATTTGGAGATACTCTCTTTACAGAGGAATCATGTAAAATGAAGTCAATAGCATGGACTCCAATCCAGTTTAACCAGTGTGCTTATAAAAACTGGAAATTGGAAACAGACCTGCATAGAGGGAGGATGATGTAAAGAAACATAGAGAGGGCCAGACGTAGTGGCTCACACCTGTAATCTTAGCACTTTGGGAGGCCGAGGTGGGTGGATCACCTGAAGTCAGGAGTTCAAGACCAGCCTGGCCAACATGGCAAAACCCCGTCTCTACTAAAAATGCAAAAATTAGCTAGGTGTGGTGGCAGGCGCCTGTAATCCCAGCTACTCGGGAGGCTGAGGCAGGAGGATCACTTGAACCTGAAGGGAGGAGGTTGCAGTGAGCTGAGAATGTACCACTATACTCTAGCCTGGGTGAACGAGTGAAACTCTGCTCAAAAAAAAAAAAAAAAAAAAAAAGAGAGAAAGAAACATAGGGAGAAACTGGCCATCTATGAGCCAAAGACAGAGGCCTGGAACATCCTTTCTTCACAGCCCTCAGAAAGAAACTAAACCTGCTGAGATCTTGATTTTGGATCTTTAGACAGTAGAACTGTGAGACAATGAATTTTCATTGTTTAAGTCACCCAATTTGTAGTATTTTGTTATGGAAATTCTAGCAAACTAATACATTCCTTATTTCTCTTCTTTTACAGGATTATTCTAAGTACTCTTACTTTTGCTTTCTGTGTAAATTTTAAAATTGACTTGACTTAAAATTAACTCCAGAAAATAAAACATTTTGATAATTACATAGACATAAGATGTTTCTATGTACTCAAGTTTCAAGTGTACTTTTACATAGTTTAGTAATATTTAAAGATTTACCCATATAGGGTACTATAGTCTTAGTGCATATGTCCCTTTCAAATGTATATGTTGAAATCCTAAACCCCAAGCTGATGGTATCAGGAGGTGGGACCTTTGGGGAGGTTGTTAGGCCATGAAGGCAGAGCCTTCCTACATAGGATTAGTGCCCTTATACAAGAGGCCCATAGAAGTTCATTAATCCTTCCACCATGAGAGGACACAGTAAGAAGTTGCCATCTATGAGGAATGGGCCTTCACCAGACAGCAAATCTGCTGGCCCCTTGATCTTATACTTCCCAGCCCCCAGAGCTGTGAGAAATAAATGTTTGTTGTTTATAAGCTACCCAGTCTATGGTACTAGTTATAACAGCCCAAACAAAGACATAGGGTTTAAGAATTTATTTTCAGTTTACTTCTAAGTATTTTTATCTTTTCTGTTTTAATTGTAAATAGGGTTTTTTCCTACTTTTTTTTCTAACTGATTATTTGTACATTTTGGCTGAGTGCAGTGGTTCATGCCTATAATATTATATATTATATTATATATTTTAAAATTTTAAAAATAGTATTTGTACATTTTAAGGCTGTTACTTTTAAACCTGCTTAATAAAATATAAGTTGTCTCTATTTTTTCTAAATTCTGAAACATCATTCAATTATTGATTTCAAAGATTTTATACAATTCCCTTATTAAAAGTACCTGTAAAATGTTTTGTGGGTAGCTAGTTATATATATATATATATATATATATATATATATATATATATATATATACACACACACATATGAACTTGGTCTTAAAGTATACATGTCTAATTTTAATAGAGACTGCTAAAAAAATTCTATATGCCATGGGAAATAGTGTGTTGAATTTTCTATATTGTGGTCGCTTCTGACAAATTGTGTGTTCCTAGCAAATTATCCATTTAATTCATGTTTTAAAAATTATTTGCAGAAGTTTGTGAAAGGTAGTCTCACTAATTTTTAAAAGTCCTTTATTCAATGGTTATTTTCTCCTAATCATTTTTATTTTGTGTTCTTGATATTTGCCTATTTTCTTGAGTTTTTAAAGACCCAATATTTTTACTTATTTATTATTTTTATTATTTTTTCATTTCATTCATTTTTGCTTTTATCTTCATTACTTATTTTTATTGACATAGTTTTAAGGTGATGATTTTTGCCTCAAATTTCTAATTCAATTGCATCTCCAATATTCCCTTATATGGCTTTTTTATTATTATTGTTTTAGAAATGCTGTGATGTTATTTACCTTTCCCTTTTCAGCTGAGAGCATTTTTTTATTGCTATATAACATCTACAGCACAGTACACAAATTTTAAGTTTATCTCTTGATAAATTTCTACTTATGCATGCACTTTGTAACGACACCCAGATGGAGCTATGGAACATATATGGCACCCCCAAAAAGTTTCCTTATGACCTCTACAAATTGGCAACTGCCCATCTCCTTATTACATGATAATTATTATTATAACTTCTATCACTATAGATTAATTTTGCCTATTTTTTTACCTTAATATTATATGGACCCACATAGGATATACGGCCAATGATATATAAAAGGATGTTCAAACACTTTAGTAATCAGGGAAATACAAATTAAACCAAAAAATGAAGAATTCTTCCCACCTACATGATGGAAAAACACTTCAAAGTTGACAAATACTTGAAGTGTTGGCAAGGGTGTAGAGTAATGAAAACTACTCTGGCAGCGTCTCGAAAATAACAGGGCATTATTATATTATAAAACTGAACATGGGCATACACCATACTACCTAGCATTTTAACTTCTAGAATTATACCTGAGGGAAATTTCTGCACATGTTCACAGGAAGGCATGTACATGAATGTTTTAGCAGCTTTTTAAAAATAGTAACAAAAATGATGGAAACAACCCAAATGCCCATCAAATACTTCTCCCTTTACAATAATACACGTAGTGATGAAAATGAACTACTGTACACATCACTATGAAAAGATTTCAGAAATTAATGTTGAGCAAAAAAGCAGGTTACCAAAGAATATATGTAGTATAGTTTTAGTAATATAATATTTTTAAATGGGCAAAATTATGCAATATGTTGTTTAGAGATACATATGTAGTAAAGCTACCAAAGCAAAGGCAAAATAAAGACAAAAATTGTGGTTTCCTCTGTTGTGGAAAAATGAAGCTAATATGGGGAGGTGGGAGTGGCTCACAAGAAGCTTTAACAGATTTTTAAAGCTTCATTTTCTAGGCCCAGTGTATTAGTCCATTCTCACACTGCTAATAAAGACATACCAAAGACTGGGTAATTTATAAAGAAAAGAGGTTTAATTGACTCACAGTTCAGTCTCCGGAAGGGGAAGCAAACACATTCTCCTTCACAAGGTGGCAGGAGAGAGAAGCGCTGAGGAAAGGGAGAAAAGCCCCTCATAAAACCATTAGATCTCGTGAGAACTCGCTCACTATCAGAAGAACAGCATGAATGTAACCACACCATGATTCAATTATCTCCCACCTGGCCCCTCCCATGGCACGTGGGTATTATGGGAACTACAATTCAAGATGAGATTTGGGTGGGGACACAGCCAAACCATATTATTCAGTGATGTTTAAGTGTTCATTTTAGTATTATTCTTCAAAATGTACTTATGCATTACATGCACTTATCTATGTTTTACATATTTCACAATTGTAAATTTTTTTAAAAAATACAATGTTGAAGCAATACAAGGACTAGATAAACTCACAAGTAACTTCATCAGTTATGCTGGAGAAGGTGAAATATCAGGTTAATGTTGTAAGGTCTTAGTATTATTTGTAAAGAATAAAAGCTTTTATTAATGTTAGACTTTGAGAAGTAATGCACATTATAATTTCTAGAATAACACAAAAGAAAAAATAGTATATAATTTTCAAACTAGTAGTGGAAAAAATGAAATGCTAAAAAATATTAATTCAAAGGAATAAAAGAAACGAAATATGAAACAGGGTACAAATAAAAAGCAGAAAATAAGGTGTAAGATTAAAGCCCAGTGATTCCAGAATTACATTCTACATACATGGGCCAAATACTTCTGCAAAGAAATGTTGTCAGACTAGATTTTAAAAATCCTAATCACAACAGATACATTAAAAAACTAAAGATAGAAATAGGATTAAAGTAAAAATGAAGAAAAAACTATAACAGGTAATTCTAAATGAAAGAATAAATTATCCAGGCCGCAACCCTTTCCTGGTAAAAAATAAAAATTAAAATATAAGAAAGAGAGTGAATTATATAATTAACATGCATAATATATAACATGTATATTTAATATGATTAATATATATTAATATAAAATATAGGCTTTGAGTCTAAAATTTTTACTAAGAATAAAGAGTGTAACTTCATAATGATAAATGTTGAATTTTTAAATAAGATATCAAATATCAAATTTGTATGTATTTAATAATAGTTCAAAATTTATAAATCTAAAACTGGCAGAGCCACAAAGGCATAAACAATATCTATAATTATAGAGTCTCTCTCAAATTGTTGTAATATGTGGGTAAAATAAAAATAAAAATAAGAATACGGAAGGTTTAAAGAATGCAGTTAATGCCTAAAGGACATATATGAAACACGACAGAATATGACAACCAATAAATGCAGAATATACCTTCTAACTTTTCATTCATCTCAAGAATGTTCAGCTTTACCTCAAGGAGGATGGTTAAAATTGTTAGTGTAAAGTTTTACCTGATAATTCTAACATCTGTATCATCTTGGAGTTTCCATTTGTTGGTTACTTTTTCTCTTGAAAATTCATTGTATTTTTTGTATGCTGAGTCATTTTGCATTGTATCCTGGATATTTTAGATGTTATGTTGTGAAACTCTGGATCCTGTTGAAATCCTCTGGAGAGTGTTTTTTTTCTTTGTGTGCACAGGCAAAGTTCTGGCTTATCTCTTGTATGCAATGTTGGGTTAGTAGCAAACTTTTGCTGTGCTCTTTGTGTCTGCCCCTTGGCTAAGCCACTCAGAAGTCAGTGTAGGTCTTGTACAGCGGGTTATCTCACAATTTTGTTCTCAAAGCCTTTGCTATGCTTTTTTGACTGTGATTCAGGGCATTCAGCTAGGGAGTGAGCAGATTCTACAGGTCAGAGTTAGTGCAACTGAAAAAGTGGCGGTTACCATATATTGGGTTCCAGAAATTATCCCTTTCTAACAATGCCATTTGCTCAAACAGGAGCTTCCACCATTACATGGTCATATAGATGTTTCCTGATTCTCCATCCTATACATCTGCAGAATGTTGAGGAGGAAAGTCTTATCTGGACTGTCAAACATAGCGTGTGCAAACTATCTTTGTCTGACCTTAGCAACGAGATTTGAGTTATTTGTATACCCTCTACTATTTCTTTTTATGTTTTCCCCTAGTAAGCCCTATTTTATATCTGTTCACATGACATAAGTGGTATGTGCTTTTGACCCATTTGCATAATGCAGACTGAAAAGATTTTTTTCTTCTATAGACTATATACTTATTCTAATATTATTTCTAATATTTTTATTCCTAATATTATTTTTATGACTTTATAGACTTCATAGTGATATCAAGTTCCTCCTGATATCTAATCATCATTCTTCTTGCTATAGTTTATTTGTCTAATTATTTCTTGAATACGCTAGTGGAAATTTGTTCTCATTATCAGAGAATATATCAGTATATATCCAGAAACAGTAAAATCCCTGGACAGCCTGCTAATATTGCAGGCTAAATTTCAGACACATTTCTCAAAGTACTTAAATATAAATAGTTATTTCTGCATTACAGAAATCAATGTAATTAACTTCTATGTGTTGACTTCTTTCAAATAGATCTTTTTCTTTGATAACACTGAATTACAGTTGACCTATTATTCATGTTAAGAAGTTACTAGTATCATAAATGCCCTGAACTATCAAAATGCTTCAGAAGAGAACTAAAAATGTTACTTCTTATAATGGAATTTTGATGTCCATGTCTCATGCTGCACATTCCTTTATGTTAATACCATAGTAAATGTCATTAACACTGTAGTATTTAATTATACTAAATATTTAATCTTTTAGAAGGACCATCAGATTCATTTTCAATATAAATCAAGCACATATGCCCAGATTATTATGGTCAAGGCAGGAAAATCCAGGATGCAAAAGCATAGCAAAAATTTCATATCTGTCTACCTCCTTTAAGCCACTTACATGACACACATGTTGCAAAGCACGGCAGAGTACAGATAGCAACAGACGTAGTTTGTATTCTTCAGGTCCTTATAGTATAAAGATCCAAAGACAAGCATACAAATACATAACATTAGACAGATTGTGCTAAGTACCAAAACAGATGTAAAAACAAGAATCACAATTTGTAAGAAGAACATTACTTTGGAGATCATTTAGTTTAAAACAGTGTTTTTGACTTTGAAGAAATTCTGACCTAGAGAAGTTGAGGAACTTGCCAAGAAAATAAGTCATTTGTTTAGTGGGAACACTTACAATGGGCCTGGCATGTGGTATGGGTAATTCATGAAGAATGCATAGGGTTTAACTAAGAAGAGATCAGAAGGAAAAGGGGATTCCAGAAAGAGGGAGGAGCATGAATAAAGAGAAGAGGCAAGAAGGCATAGGCCATATTTGACAATCAGCAAATTGACAACTTTGACTGAATTTTGGATAATGTTTCTACAACTTTAAAGTGTATAAGAAGGTTTTTGAAACTGTAAATTCTAAGCCTCCACACCTACAGATTTTGCTTCAGTAGGTAAAAAACGTACCTTAGAAATACACATCTTGACAGGCACCCAGGGATTTGGGCACAAGTGATGCAAAAACTGTCCTCATCTCTGGTATAAATGATGAAAAATAAAGTTAAAGAGTAGGATACAGCTGCTGTCAAGATGTGAGACAAGGTTTTTATTTTTAATTTGGTAAAGCATAGGAAGCCTTTCAGGATTATAAGCAGGAAGGTGACATAATTACTCCTACATTTTAAGAATAAATGTTGCAACAATAAATAACATGCTTTGGAGGTAGGGAATCCACTGGAAAACTATCATAATAGTAAAAAGCAAAATGGACCTGAACTAGGGAGTAGTTTTAAAATGAACAACAGGAGGCAGAGTAAAAAATATTACAAGTAAAATATATTACAGTAGGTGATATAGTCTATGACAATGGAATTTTTTTTTTTAAATCCTGAACTTTCATGTTTGATGAGTGGGAATATAGTGTTAGTGGTACTAGTTACAAAAGCCATTAATTAATTAATTAATTTATTTATTATTTTTGAGATAGGGTCTTACTCTGTCACCCGGGCTGGAGTGCAGTGGCACAATCATGGCTCACTGCAGCCTCAACCTCCTGGACTCAGGTAGTCCTCCTGCCTCAGCCTCCTAAGTAGCTGGGACGACAGGTGCATGTTACCACAACCCGCTAATTTTTTAAAAAAAAATTTGTAGAGACTGCATTTTGCCATGTTGCCCAGGCTGGACTTGAACTGGGCTCAAGTGATCTGCCCGCCTTGGCCTCCTAAAAAGTTGGGATTATAGGCACGAGCCATTTTGTCTGGCCTATTTTATTCTTTCAGGAGAAACAAGATTTCTTTCCTTTGTATTTTCTGAGAATTGAGAGTATGGGAATATAAAATACGTTTTGGAAGTGTTGAGTTGAGTGCTCTGTCAAGCTGCATAGGCAGTGCAAACTAAATTTGGAGATTAGGAAAGGGATCAGGACTAGAAATGGGAGGTGGGAGTCATTCTCACAGAGGAGATATGTTAGGAGGCATGAAATTAGTTAAGATCATCAAGGCAGAGGGTTGACCAGTAAGAAAAAAGAGGCTAAAAGATAATTTCTTGTGGGGAAAACCCACCCTTTGGAAGGTAGGAAAACAAGAGTAACAATCTAATAAGCAGAGAAATACTCTTATGAGGAAAATAGAAAAATGGAAGCCTAAGAGAAAAGTTACACTTTTAAAATTGTGTCTACCCTGAGAACCCAGGGTTGCAGAAGACACTGTGTCTCACAGTGTGTCTCATAGAAACTGATGAAACATGATGGCTTCAGGAAGTCCACTAGCAAGCACAAGCCTAGGAACTAAACCTAAAATGAGCTAAATCCCTAACTGTAATGCAGTATCTTCTCCAGCTCCATTGCAGTTCAGACTCTTATCTCACATTCCATGATGAACAGGTGGGCTTCCGTTAGAAAGACAAGTGGAGAACTTTTAAAAATCTATACAATATTTGTGACTTCTACTTCTCTGCATGAACTATCATTAGCCTGGTAAAAGTTTCAGAATCTCTCAGGCACACAAGATTCTCTATTCCAAGTGTGCTACTCAGGATGAATGTCTACAGATCAAAGCAAGAGGAGCAACGGGGTCACACAAACCATTCACCTAAATAGAGAGACTGCCATCAAAGTTCATTCTTATCAGAACTCATGAAATGAAAAAGCAGAATGTTCTCCAGGTGGTCCTGTCTTCAGAGAAGAAATTTCAGGATGTTGGAAAAAGTGTTATCTATTGTAACACATCTAACAAAGGAAACACAAAGGTGCCATGAAATGCAGGCCAAAGCAAGATAAAAATCTCAATTCCCAATTCCGTCTGATTCTTCCCTATCAAAGCCTATTAACAGAAGTAACTGTAATGAAAATGTGAAAATTATAAAGAAATGGGAAATAGAAGGTATCTGATGATTATATACTTCTAAGTTAATTGCATTATCTCCATCTTAGGCCTCCTGGCCTAAGTTATGTTTCTATAAAAAATTTAAATAATTAATGTCCTTAATATATAAGGAATTTTATAGTCAGAAAAAGTCAGTTTCAACTTCATATTCAGTGTGTAACATCTTTCTAAACAATTTACATTGTTAATACATATACTATTACTCAATTAATATTTCACTATCTTTTTCACAGGTTATCAAAAAGGGCTTCAATCAAATATTTTGTGGACTACACTTTTCGTTTTTATTTTATTTACCACCAGTCTAGAAACACTGTTTTTTAAAAAAGGAAATGATGCTATCTTGGTATATCTTATCTAAATGACTCATTAATTCATTTAATGTTTACTACATTATTTCCCCAAAGTTGAAAATTTCTCTGCTTAATGATCCAAATGGAATTTTTTCAAGAAGCAAAGTCTACCTCTATTTTTTAATCTACTTTTAAATGATTTATCTGTTTTTCTTTTTTCAAATTGGAGACTACAATGACCATCTCTGGTCTTCTGAAAAACTCTTATTCCCTGTGATCTCTAAAACATGACAGCAAAATCTTTTAAACAACATCTTAGGCAATTTTTCAACCCTTGACTTGTTTTGTTTTCTTCAGTGAATGCTGTGCCATACAAATGGATGCCACACAATTTAAAAAATCAATTTCAGTCTAGGTCTTGAAGAGTCCTAGTTGAAGCGGGAAATTTTGTTATCAGGGACTTTGGAAATGGCCTTCTCTCTGATATTAGGAATCTGTTTGCACTGCACAACTCTTGTGCTGACCAAAAACTCCTGTGCTATTGGTAAAGTATCTATGGTAACGTTAAATCCTTGTATTCCCTACTCATCTTCAATATAGGCCTGAGTTAATAGGTTGGGTTCCCACTTTCACATGTATATGTTAGTCCTTAGTTATCTCAGTTCTTTTTAAAAAATCTTAAACAGTTGAGCCTCCTGAGACATCAACTTAAATGAAAGCCAGTCATCGAGGTCTCGTTGACTTAGCGAATTGTAATACTGTAAGTCCCCGTTCCCTAGGAAATGTGAAGGGGTGGGGATTCTGCCAACTTACAAATTGAACAACTAATCAGATTCCCTTGCTGCTAAACCCTGCATTTGAGATTAAGTTGGTGTCAATGCTTACTTGAGTCTTGTTTGAGTCGTCTTTAAACACTTGTTCCTCTCATTGAGGCCAATGTTTGCTGTCAAGTTACCTTTCTCCTGTATGCTTGTCCTCAGCTTCCTGCTCACTCTTTGTTCCCAACTTCTCTATTGCACTCTGCATTTTCAAGTGCTGGAGCATGCCCTATACCTTAACCTGCCTAACTAATGACACAATTCACTTATCTTGAAGTGGAAATTTTAACACAGTTAAGGATTACATGTTCTTTTACTTCCTTTCTTATCTATCTTGGATTTAATTATTTAATTGTACCTGACTCTTTCCAATATGGGGGAAATCATTCAAAATTCAAGCTGAATATATTGTGAAAAGAGTGACTTTAGCCCGTACTAGTGCTCCATCGGGCACCCATGCCACTGTAAATTTTCTTGAGAGCAATATATGTCCAGGAAACAAAATCATACAAATGCATAAATTTGCCCCATAAATGTAGGACAGAGAGATCCTTAGCTATCCTCCCTCACCTTGTCATTCTCTTTATGTATGAGTGGTACCATTAGAAATAACTACCCTTTCCCAAGAATTAAGTCTCTCAATTCTTCAAGCCCTTCAAACTACTCCTGGGGATTGGCCACTTATTTCCCCAAAGCCTTGTATTCAGTGGGTATTTCGTCCTAGATGATTTAGTAAATAATTTGATGCTGTGATTTCTGAAGTCCTATCAATTAATATAAACAGGATTTTCACTGTTTTCCATTCCACCCGGGCACATATTAGACCCTTTGCTTCCCTCCTTTGTCATGATAGACTGTGGTCTGCAACCATGTCTCTTCATTTGCTCTATCATTCGGCCAACGAACTAACCCTGCTTGATTTAAGCAGAAAATGGATTTGTTAAACAGGTATTGGGGAACTCACACAACTTAAAGGCTATGCAGCAAGAAACAATGATTAAATCACACCGTAAATGTAGTCTGGTGAAAACACAATTGCCACCTGTGCTGTGCACTTAGCTGGGAAAGAGACTATTTCATATTTTCAACTTTAATGGTGGGAGGCAAGTTCTGCCTCATGTGGTGGGAATTCTACAAACATGGAAAAGAAACTGTTGTGTTAGGTGACCATAAGGTGCACTACACTGTGGCAGACAAAACAAAAAAAAGAAAGAAAAACCCAAACTCCTTGATTTGGTCTGCATTTTTTAATAGTGGATATTAGTAGATATATTAATTTTGAATGACTTATATCCTATCTAATAATTAGCAAAAACCTCCATGTGTCACATAAATTTATAACAGAACAAAATGACAAATCATGGACTCTTGTTTTAAAACTGTAGAGGATTGGATCAAAAGTATCATAGGGATGATATGAGGATTTTCAATTTTTCAACATTTCTATACTCAATGGTTCCAGAATTTACACCACTGAACATTCCAATAGATGTCCAGTGGTTCCAGAATTTATAAAGAGGAGTATAAACCAATGAGAAATTAAATTTCACTTGATAGATTTAATCATTTCCATTAGCTTTATTTAGGTTTATTGTTCAGGTTTCATTGAATTTATTTTCATGGAAAATGTAAATATAAAAGGGAAAATGTTTGGATAGACTACTACAGTTCTGTGTTGTGCTGCCTATTCTAGTTTAAAGGATAAATAGAAATCAATGAGAAGTGTGCTACATCTATGGGGTTGTCATGTTTCTCAAGAGACATGAAATGACATATCTCATCCTGCTATGCCAGCATTCTACACATTCTGTCAGCTATGACTTGCTACTGAGATTGGCCTCTGCACCTCTTTCAACTCTGTGCTTTAGCTGATTCTTTCTGCCTGCTTTCAATTTTTTGCTCTTGTCACTGTCTGGTCACTCTCTAATAGCAAATCAACATTGATAGACAAGATTCCATGTAATTCAAGACTTGGATTGTTTCTATCATTATAAAATGCACATTTAACATGGAACACTTTTGTAGTTTCAAGATATCATTGGTAATTCATTAACATTTTTACTAATAGAAAGTTGCTTTTCCCAGAGAAATTTAGAATTAGAGACAAATTCCCTCTAGCAATAACCAGAGACAAAACCAACTTAAGAAAAACAAGACAAAAAAAGAGAAGTTCCTTGGCCAGGCAAGGTGGATCACGCCTGTAATCCCAACACTTTGGGAGGCCTAGGCAGGTGGATCGCTTGAGCACAGGAGTTCAAGACCAGCCTGGGAAACATAGTGAGACCTTGTCTTTATTTTTTTTAATTTAAAAAATTATATAAAAAAAGAGTAGTTCCCAAAACATAGTATAATTGGCCCTCTGTATTCATGGGATCCATGTCCTTGGAATTAACCAATGATGGATCAAAATATTTGCATCTGTACTGAACTTATACTGACTTTTTTTCTTGCCATTATTCCCTAAGGAACACAGTCTAACAACTACTCACATAGCATTTACACTGTATCAGCTATTATAAGTAATCTATGGGAGATTTAAAGTATACAGGAGAATGTGCATAAGCGATATGCAAATAGTAGCCCATTTTATTTCAGGGACTTGAGCGTCCTCAGATTTTGGTATCTGAGGGAGGCCCTGGAACTAATCTCCCATAGATACCAAGGGATGATTGTACCTGTTTTAGGATTCTTTCTCATCAGATATTGTAAGCTTATTCATCATGATCTCAAGAGAAACAACTTTAGATGATTGATCAAAGTTCCATGTGTTTGTGCATTTGTTTCTCTATCAATGTGGCCTAATTGTCTTATCTACCAACTGCTGCAGTAATTCCATAAAGATTCGATCCCCCTCAACTTTTATTTGCTTTTCTCTTTAACTTTTGTATTTCTAATGATTCTAAGAAATTTGCCCTTTTGGAGTATTCACCGCACAGGAGCACTATAGTTCATATATTAGTTTTGAATTTTTTATCTAGATGAGTAAAAATAAAAAAGTAGAAACCTTTAGGCAGTTATATATTCAGAGACTGTTTCTGTATTGTAGAAAACCATAAGATAAGAGCAATTTTGTTTTGGAGAAAAGAATATATATTTACAAATTAATTACCTTTTTAAAAAAACATATTAGGTAACTTTGCAAAGTAAGATATATATGCTCCTATTTGTAAATTGGTTAACAAATAGCTTAAATCCTTGACATTTCAAATGTTTGCATTGAGTCCCAAAAACCAATTTGAAAATAAAAAGCATAATTAAATCTGCCAATTTTATTCAAATGTCCAAAACATTCTAGTTGAATTTTGACAGAGGTGATCATTCCACATTTTGTACCTTACTAAAACTCAGAGTTGTCTTATCTGGAAAGCCAGTGATTTGACAATTTTCCTCTTGCTCCCCTAAATTTGCTTTCTTATTGTCTGATAGGTGCACTTTTTACCCAGAAGTGGCTCAGTAATGCTTGCTTTGGATTACAGTCCTAAGCAATATTTTTGAAAAGATTGGAAATAAAATTTCTATAGAAACTAACAATATGATACAATGTTGAAAGGTTGGAACTGGACTAAGGGGATTATTTAAGAACAACTGATAAATGTGTTGAATCCTCTTCAGAACAGTGTATGGTTGGGTCAGTTGGGATGAGACTAATTCTTCAGGGTGTTGTAGAAGTGGCTATACTGAAGGATGCTTTATTTTGCCCTTCATCAGGTTCAGTATTGCCTAATTATGTTTTAGCTCTTGAGAAGTGTCAAATGGCCTGAATACTAAGACTTCGCTGCTCCCAGTAGCCACTGAATCCTGGCATTGGGTAGTTAAATATTTTCCTAGAGTAATAAACACATTTTCAACTACACGGCAAGAAGAAAAAAATAAACCAGAAGTTTAATTAAGTATAGGTAGAACAATTAAGGAATAGAAAAATATAGGTTAAAGCACTTAAAGTGGCCTCTTACATAAAGCTTGTTGATAATAGGTGATATATTAAACAGTGTTTTGAGATACTACTGTCCTACATAAATTTAAAGTATTATAATTTTGAAGCATTGATGACATTTTTCAATGTGAAACTTCCAAAGATTTTTGTCAGAATAATCAAAAGTGATTACTCTTTTTGTAGCTAATAAATATTTTTAAAGGTTATGTAGGAATATAACATGAATACTATGGTGAGTTGTCAAGCATGAAGGATGTCTTTTTATGAACAAAATTCCAGTTAACTAAATCAATCTGTGTTCTCATTCTTTTAAAAACCCTTGTAAAATTTTATTTCCTTTCTTTTAATTATTTCTAAATAGTTACACATGCACAATAAACTCAACTGGAGGAATATTTAAATTGACCAAAAAGGGCAGTACAAATGATTAGCTGAAATGTATAATGTAATCTTTAAGCCGTGAAAAAATGCAGATAGCAAAAACATTTTGTTTTAAAATATTTTCCATTCAATACTAAAAGATACTTTTGGTATTAAAACTGTTAACTGGAATCTTGTTCTTTTTATAAAATACTGATTTTATTAAAATTAGATTGTTTCTAAAATACACTGGAGTTCATTATACACCAAGATTACACTTACTGCGAATTTATGCTGCTGATTCATAAGCACCAGAGAACGAAGTTCATAATGAAACCACTGACATCATTGTGTTTAAATGTACATAAACCTTTGCTATTATGATCTGTTTTATATTTCATATTTACCTATGAATGATTTATTTTCCATAAGAAACTCTAATATGGCAAATGAACAACAGCTGTTGCAAAGCGTGCTTATTTTCTGAGGGAATGGGGGAAGAAACAGCCAATTTAGAACTTTAACCAATAAACTAAAAACACTAAAAAGTAAGTTTTCCTTCCCCCTGCTGGGAATTAACTTTACGTACCATTGAGAATCAGAAGACTTGGTTGCAGTTCTAGAGGCCAAAACTAGATGGTGCTCTACAGTTGTCAGTACTTCAAGTCAATTCCAGACGTTTAGAGTAATGGAATTTAAGGGCTTTATTAAGGATGTATTTCATGAGTTTCATATTTGATTCTTCTTCTTTCTTCTTCCACAGACTTTCTTAGGGGATAAGAAAGTGGATAACATTCAGAATTAGCATGGCTCTAAGTGCTTTACAAGCATATTTTTCTCTTTTGATTGCCTTAGTTATTTCCTGCCCCACTTCTCAGCCCTTATCCATCACTTGTAAAATTATGAGACATACCAGTATCAGATGAAGAAATAAAGCCTAGAGTAATAGTTAAGGGAAATATTTCGTGTTATGCAAGTCAAACTCTTGGCCAGAATTAACATTCAGGTCTTTGCTTTATCAAGACTAGCTACCTTACCTAACAAGGCGAGAAAGTACAGGCAGTAAGACTAAATTCTTTTTGGGGAAGGAGAAGAGCCAGTAGTAACACATGGTTGTTGTTTCTTCCATCTTCATAGCAGTTTTTGCTCCCTTTCCTGAATATTCTCATTGTTCCCTGTCCACCCTTCTGAGGATATGTTGATAGAAGAGCAGAAAAAAAGAATAGGAAGGGGGATAAAATGTTCACAAACAAGCATACTCCACATGCCAGGCACTGATTTAAACATTTTACATATGTTTTCATATTTATCTTTTGAAGAAATCTAAGAAGGCATAAGTGAATGACCTCCCTTTTACATATGAGGAGTTTGGCACTCAGATTAGTAACTCCTCAAAGTCAGTAAGTAAGTGCCATTCTAAGGATTTGGCCATAAGTTTGTCTAATTCTAGAACCAATCGGGTTTTCTACAACTACAATTGTGACATTAAAAAAAGAAAACCCAAAATTGGTTATAGTCTCTTTCCTAGTGCCTGTTTACATTGAGCATGGCATGATTCTAGGTTTATACTGTTCAATGTACTGTCCTATGTATTATCTCATTTAATCTAATAGCCAACTCTATCACACTATGAATAAAAGTGAAATTTCCAAACTTAACTCTCTAATCAGTGGCAGTGCCTAGTTAACAGCCTAAGTATTTTCATAATAAATTTTAGTTTTACAGTAGAACTTAAGCACATGAAAATGATCAACTTGTACATTTTTACTATTTGCTTTATTTCTTATAATTGATATAAATGATCTTAATTTACAATTTTCCTAGTCACTAAGGGATCAACAATATGTATTAATACCATAATTTCTCAAAAATACAAATAAAAACTCTTCCAATTAAATTTTTAACAATTGTCTATGTTTACATTCATTATACCATATATACTGTGAAGAATATAAACAAATAGAAGATGATTTTTTCCGTCAAGTTTTTAATAAATGACTGGGTAAGACATATATGAAGATTCATTCATTAAACACTTAATTACTGACTACTGTGCAAAACCATCCTTGACACTGCAGGAGCCAGAAGGACAACCAAGTCAGAGCCCCTGACCAAAAGGACTGATGAACAAGGACGTGCCCAGGTACTGCCACACCCAGTCATGGATTCCTTTGTCTAGACACAATCTTGGAGAAACCACTTGCCATTTGAGGGAAATGCCATTGAATTTAGGATAAGACCTTCATTTCCTGTTCGGTATATTCAAAACCCATATCAGAAGAGGAACTCTTAAAATTGCCCCATCACCAGATGTAAAGCCAAGTTTCTTCCTTCCTCAACCTTCCACCTACTTTTGCCTCGTTTGTCATGATTGCCATGTATTTGGAGACTTGAAGAAAGTGTTTATGTAAGTGTAATTCATTGTTGATTGTGTTGCATGGCTTAAAGTCTTTAGTTTCTCCATTGATTTCTGAATATTATCCACTTTCTGATTGATAATTCAGAACCTTAGCAGCTGACCCCCATGTGACCTTTATTTTGCTCAGTGAGACCATTTTCTAATGGCTAATTATTAGGATGGTCTTATTCCTAACCAATTTGTCTTTTCCACTTCTCCAATTCGTTCCACTAAAATTATTTTTACAGTTGACATTTTATAGTATTTCATTAGCTTTTCTGAACCTTTGATTACAATACTATCACATAAACTGAGAATGATGTTCATACTGAAAAGAAAAGCTATTGTTAACATGTAACTTTTGTCAGAAGTGTAATTTTTAACATTGTCATTTTCCATGGTAAGTACAGGAGCCTTGATGGGTTAAGGATCAGTTTTACTTTCCTTTATTACAGAACAAATCTGGAATGTACTCCCAGAGTCAGAAAGTCAGTGAACATTGGTGTCTAAGTAAGTTAGTATTATATATATACAGTTGACTTCTGGCGCCAAAACTTCTTAGCCGTCTAGGTCAACTTTTATTCCTTGTACATTACAAATAACTGCGACACATTTTATCCCATTAAGTCTTCATGACACCCTTGTGAAATTTCTTTTTGATTTTTTTAAATCTCCAAATTATCCAAGAAGAAAGAAGGCGTTAAATAAATGAAGGGATTTTCCCAGGGCACACAGCTATAAGACACATGGAACTGAGATTTCAAAATTAGATCTAACTCTAAATAGAGTACTAACAGCTCCTAGTTATTTAGCACCTACTATGTTCCAGGCATGGCTCCACGTACTTTATAAGCATTAACTCAAATCTCACAACAACCCTTTTATGGAGGGAATATTTTTGTCCCCACTTTACATATGAGTAAACTGAGGCATCAAGAGGTTAAGTAACTTCTCAAACTTCCACAGTTAGTAAGAGGCAGAACCTGGCTTCAAACTCAGGCTGACCTCTGTTTTGCTAACTCTTTGTATACTACCTGATAGGTTTAATAACCACTTTGGCATCTCATAGAGGTGTTGTTAGAATTTAATGGCATAAAATGTACCATGGCTGTTTGTAAGGAATAAACATTTATCAGACTATGTGAAAAAAAATTTGAGGTCAGAAATGAAATACATGTACATTTTATTGATGATGCACATTCCACCCAGATAAAGAATATAAGACTATAATCAGGAGACAGCATCAGAGAATATGTGTTGTGAACAGCTTTTCCTTCATTTACCATTTTTTCTTCAGAATTTCTTTGAGATGGTTAAGGAATCTAGATCAGAAATTTTAAGGGCAGGAAACACAAATATTGGAGGTCACAGGTCTAGTTCATATTATTATTAATCTACTCTAATTCTGCTCCTATTTTTGTTTTTAAATTATTGCCTTCTCATAAAGACTGGTTTAAATTGCCTTCTTGGAAATTCAGGAGCTTACAAAAAAATTTTTTTTAAAAGAACGAAAATATCTCTTCCATTCAGACTCCACAAATACTGAAATTTCACCACGGGATTAATCTTTTTTCCCTTATTTTAGATGTTTTTTACATCACTTCCGCTTGTGTGCCATTGCAACTTTGACTACTTCTGCATCAAGCTTTTTAGGACATTTGGTTCTGATCAACTCCCTTTCTGATTTCCTAGCTCTGTCTTACAGTGGAAAACTCATTTATTTTTGCCCTGGGTAAACAACTTATGCTCATTTATAACTCAAAGCTACCTGGGCAATTGGGTGATTATTCAGTGATCTGAATATAAACAACCAAAGTAGATAAAGGCTGGAATAACTTAAAAAATTAAACTTTTTTAATTACCCAGTCTTTCCAGGTAATTGTCTCACTTCAGCACTTTAATTTCTCTGTAGATCAAACTTAAGGGCTGTTAATAAATGACCTTAAAGAAAGCATCCTTTTTCTCATTATATTTTTGTAATAGTCTATGCTATGCTTTGTCTGTATATAACCTGCCTACACCGATGTTACTTGGCTATTGTGTTTTATGACATGGTGCTTTTAAGCCAAGTCTACCAACTCTCACTTGACTGATAAAACACCTCAATCCACATATAGTGGACCGCATTTTCTTGCACTTCCTGTTGCTATACTCTGAAATACTTAGACTCAAATTTATTTTTCACAAGAAGCTGTATTTTGGTAATATGTATTAATAAGGAATATTTGTTACTGAGACACTGAACATGGATCATGCTTACATGGTATATTTCCACTACAAAATGTAAGCTCCAAATGCCATAGTAAGGTTGGCCAAAGCAAGTTTAAGAAGTGAAAAAGAAAAAACACTTATAGAAATCTCAGAACTGTTAAGATCATAAATCATAAGTAGATTTTCTTTCTAATCCCAGCAGTATACCCTAAAGGATAAAGATTTATAGTCCTTGTAATTTTATTTTAGGTACTATAACGGCTAGTTCTATTCTTAGCTATATAAATGTATCATTTTTCACTCTTACAAAACTATTTGCTTCAGTATCTTCTAGCCAGTGAATTCCATGTGTGTTTGAAGATTTAACACATCAGAAATTTTTAAAGTTGGTTGCTTTTGTTGACTTTTAAAGTTTTTTTTTTCATTGTGGTCGTTTAATATACATTTTGTTTATAGTTTCTTATTAAAAATTTTTATTGTATATATTTGAGATGTATAACATGGTGTTTTTACACACATATACATAATGAAATGAGTGAAATGATTACTACAAATTTACATATCCATCACCTTCCATAGTTACCGTGGGTGTGTGAGTGAATTGAGAATACCTAAAATCCACTCTCTTAACACATTTTTAGAATACAATATAATATTATTAACTATATCCTCATGTTGTACATTGTATCTCTAAACGTATCATACATAACTGCAAATTTGTACTCTTTAACCTACTTCTCCCCTTTTCCTCCCCCTCCCTGCTCCTGGTAACCACTGTTTTACTGTTTTTATTTATTTGACTATTTTTTTAAAGATTCCACGTATAGGTGAAATCATACAGTCTTTTTCTTTCTGTGTCTGGCTTACTTCCTTAGCATAAGGTCCTCTAGGTTCATCCATGTTGTCACATGGCAATATCTCTCCTTTTAAAGGCCAAATAATATTCCATTGTAGATATATACCATAATTTTTTTAAAAAAATCTATTCATCTGTTGATGGCTACTTAAATTATTTCCATATCTTGGCTATTATAAATAATGCTGAAAAGAACAAAGGAGCACAGATATCTCTATGAGGTGCTAATTTCATTTCCTTTGGGTATGTACCCAACAGAGGGATTGCTGGGTCATATGGTACTTCTAGTTTCGATTTATTGAAGAACACCCACATTGTTTTCCATAATAGCTGTCCCAATATACATTCCCATCAGCAATATATAAGGGTTTCCTTTCCTCCACACCCTCTCCAACCCTTGTTATCTCTCAGCTTGTGTGAGGTAATATCTCATTGTGGTTTTGATTTGCGTTTCCCAGATGATTAATGATGTTGAACACTTTTTAACATTTCTATTGGCCATATGCATGTCCTCTTTGGCAAATTTTGATTCAGGTCCATTGCCCATTTGTAAATTTGGCTATTTGGTTTTTATTAGCTATTGAGTTGTGTGAGTTTCATATATTGTTTTGATATTAATGCTTATTAGATCTATGGTTTTTAAATATTTTCTCCCATTCTATAGGTTGCATTTTCATTTTATTGACTGTTTCTTTTACTAGGAATCTTTTTAGTTTGGTGTAGTGCCACTTGTTTAATTTTGCTCTTGTTGCCTGAACTTTTGCTGTGTTATCAAAAAAATCATCAAGGTCAATATCAAGGAGCTTTTCCCCTAAGTTTTCTTCTAGGAAGAGTATGGATTGTTTCTTACGTATTTATTTTTCATTAACATTTTTCTTATTCTCATTACAAATCTCAAGTTGTCTTTGGCACTATAATAAACTTGGCTAAGAACTTTAAAAGAATGTACATGACTACATTAAAAAAATTGCCTTGTCTCCCGGGAAGATGATATGTAAATATATTTGGCATAACTGGCATGACATCTCCTCACAGAAACACAAGG
The DNA here is from genome assembly GCF_000001405.40 of Homo sapiens. Classification (NCBI taxonomy): domain Eukaryota; kingdom Metazoa; phylum Chordata; class Mammalia; order Primates; family Hominidae; genus Homo; species Homo sapiens. Next base: position 69,841,778 of record NC_000006.12, read on the forward strand.
CAGCTTCTCAAATGGTTCCCAAATTAAAAGTTCTGCCCACCTCATATACGCTGTTTTCCATTACCTTTTCCAGTAAAGTGGGGAGGGGATTCCTCTCCCTAAGTACCTATAGATAGCTTCCTACAAATTGGGGCAAAGCTTAATGTCTAATGCTTTGGTCTTCAAACATTAGTATCAGAATTACCCAGAGAGCTTGTTAAAGGACCAAGTGCTGGACCCATTCGCAAAATTTCTGATCCAGTAAGTCTGGGGTGGGGCAAGATAATTTGCATTTCTAACAAGGCCCAGGGGATGCTGTTGCTGCTGCTGCTCTGGAGCAGCACTTTGAGAACCAGTGCCTTCATGCATGAGAGTAGGGGTATTTATTTACTTGCTTTTTCTTGATCAAAAAAATTTATGCATATAACTGAGTAATATATACTTAAGTTCCTGATAAGTTGCTTTTATTTTCTTGCTGGGAATGTGGATTTTTAAAAAGGAAGATGTTAAAAACAATAAAGACCAATGGATGGATTTTTTACTTTCCACATGAATTTTGTTATTCTTTTTCCATTTTGTACTCATTGCAATGGTCATTGTCTCTCTTTTCTTAGAGGCTACCCTTGTGGAATTACTGTTATATGCCATTAACATGTCTTTTACAGATGAAGAAACTGAGGCACAGAGCGATTTAGTAGCATGCTCAAGTCATACAGCTAGTAAGTGGCAGATATGGGATTTGAACCAAGTCAGTCTGACTTTACAGCTTGTCCTTAAACAATGTGCTTTATTACCTTCCAATCTTCAGATGGCATAGCAATTATTTAAATAACTTTTGAAATAGCCAGAAATGCACTTTCAGCTGTTGAAATAGTCAATTTTGAAAAATATTTTTGAGACTAATGATTATACATGGTGCAAAAATTTTTGTAGTTGCAGTCAGTTGCAAAAAGAATAAAGTATGACATTTCTTGTAAGATCTGACCCCTAACAACTTTTCAGATTTTTTGCACCCTGCCTTCAGTTGACATTAGTCTATTCATTAGCCCCTAAAATGACTGTGCATTTTGTTACTTCAGAATCCTTGCTTATGCTGTATTTTTAACCTAGTTTAAAACATTTCTGTTCTGCTCCCTTAGGTGAGAATTGTTCCTTTATTTTAGACTCTCAACGTGCTTTTTACCACTCACGTCTTTCCACTTTGAACCAGAAAGTCTATTTTTACATATTTGTCTATTCCTTTAGAATCTAAGCTCCCTGGGGGCACAGTCAGACCTCACTCATTTCCATCCCTTTTCCTATACCTCCTACTCCTGGTGGTGCCTGGCTCAGAACTGAGTAAATGGAACCTGAAATATTACTGAATAATTATAGACAATTAAAAAATTGGCTTTTATTTATTGCCTGTGGTCACTCAGCTATTTGGTTTTGGCCTGGGACTCTCAAAACCAGGTGCTTGCTGTAAATTCCCGCCAGATCTAATGTTTTTCTAAAAGATTATTTGGTAACACTAGTTCTCTGTGACTCTCTGTTTTGTGTTACCACCTATCTTACTAGAATGAATTATTTCCCATTTTCTTCTCTGTGTTTGTGTCTATTTCTCTGATCTGTGGCTAATGTGTGGGGTAACTCTTTCTCACCTACTCTAACACCAGTCAAGCTCTGAATCACTTACATTTCAGCATGCTATTCATAAAATTGCCTCTGCTCCAATCTCAGTTTTTGAACATGTCCAAAGCATTATAATTTTTCCACACCCTTGACTTTGATGAGGTCATGTGCTATAAATTTGTCCATATCACCTAAAAGTTCAGATTTCTCTGTCTTCTAGCTCCCTTTTTCTTCTTTAGTGGTTTCATAACTGAACATCCTAATATGATTTTTCCAGTCCAGCTAAGATCCAGTGCTTAGAGGCATTGCAAAATCAATGTCTACTAATAAGTTCAAAATATTTTCACTTCTTTTATTGGTTGTCTTTGAACACAAAAAGAAATATGAAAAAATATTGTGAACAAAGGCACCCATTTTCAATGTAAGTATTTGCCAAGATAGGCTTGGACCTAAGAAATGTTGTGAGTTTTTTTTTTCATATTCTTTCTCAGTGAGTTGATTCTTCTCTGTTCTATTTTTTCCCCACTCTACACAAGTCTTTTTATGAGTCTTAAAAGAAAATTGCTAATGTCTTAATTCTCTTGCCTGGATTTCTTTTCAGATTAGTTTTTCTTGATTTCCTTACCCTTATTTTTAATCATTTTCTCTATTTTCATCTGTGAGTAGCAGATGTGTGTAGGCTCAGTTTAGCTAAATAAAAATTAGGTACCAAAATATAATTATTCACCCATGTTGGTATACTTGATTTAGGAAAATATATGGATGATTATTTGCAAGGCTTATGAGTCAATGATTATCTGCATTTAAACTTCAAATTTTTATACAAAAAATAGAAATATGATTTCAATATATACGACCCTTATATAGTTAGAATTGTAATATCAATTGAGAAAAGAATAATGGAAAGAAACTACAGCATTATAAAATAAGTTTAAAAAATCAGGATTCTTTAGCCACTTACCCAATAAACAGATGTTGAATTCATATTATCCATAATCACTAAGGGGGATATTAAAAATATTGAGCCCTGAAAGGAATCTATTTTCCCAGAGCTCACAATTATATTACATTTATTTACTACTTGCATCACATAGGTGTGAAAAAAGGTATTATAGAGGATATTAATGGATTTTATATAGGATAGTAAAGAGATATCAAGTTCAGGGAGTTTTATTATTATAAATTATAAAACATTAGGATAGGGTATATGTTTGCCTTAAAGGTGTTTGATTGTTTGGCTGCAGCCCTCTTAGGGATCCATAGAGCTTTAGGTCTGAAAAAACTTAGACATTATTTAGTCCAACTTCATCACTTTACAGCTTAGGAAACTGAAATCCAGAGAGTTAGATGACTTATCCAACATTAGTGGCATGTAACAGCCAACAGTGTAAAACTGGGGTATTTTTTTTTCACCTTTCCATTTACCTATTTATCTCTTTAAGAAATATTTGAATAGACCTGGGAATACAAAATATCGGGACAAAATAAATAAACCATCATTTGCTCTCTCGAAGTGCTTCTTGTACAACAAACTATAATTGATGGAATGACATAATGGCATAGATAATAAAAGAGTAGTCATGTTGGCGTGTGTGGGATTCCCACATCAGTGTTGCCACATAGCCTCCTCTTCAACTTAGGATAATTTCAACAGATTTTTAAAAACCTTGTCAACAACATTTTAGACAAGCAGAGAAAGATTTTCACTTTACACTTGTGCTAAAAGTGTGGGCAAAACCAAGTTTTACTTGAAATGTCTTGTTTCATTTAACATTTTGGGTTAGATAAAAAACAATGTATTTATTTATTTATTTTTAATTTTTCTTTTGAGGTGGGGTCTTGCTCTGTCACCCAGGCTGGAGTGCAGTGGCGGGATCTGGGTTCACTGCAACCTCTGCCTCCTGGTTTCAAGCGATTTTCCTGTCTCAACCTCCTGAGTAGCTGGGATTACAGGCGCCCCACCATGCCTGGTTAATTTTTGTATTTTTAGTAGAGACAGGGTTTCGCCATGTTGGCCGGGCTGGTCTGGAACCCCTGACCTCAGGTGATCTACCCACCTTGGCCTCCCAAAGTGCTGGAATTACAGCTGTGAGCCACTGGGTGGGCCAATGTATTTATTTTTATTAAAAGTTTCACGCATAGTGTTTCACAAAAATAAATAAACACAATGCTACATTTTATTATACTTTTTAAACATTGTTTTTCTTTTAAAGAAAGTTTGAAATTTGAGCTAGTACTAATTTTGCTGCTTCAATTTAGCATAATTTAAGTCACTTTAGGAAGGCGTATTTGTTGTTTTTATCGATTATTCATGAAAAGAAAGTTCCAGTTCTGACAGTCAATTTTTATCAAAGGAAGATATGAAGTTATTGTTTAACATACATTGCCAACTGAATTACATGGAGTGAAAATAAAGTAGTGTGTAGCTTTATTAATGAATTCAGACACTCAGCATTGACTCCAAGTCTCTTTAAAATTAGGTTGAATTTAAATATAGTAAAAGTCCAGTTTCAAACTTAGTTTATTTTTATAATGCTAAATTTCTCATATTAAAATTTTGATGATTACATAGTCTCCATTTTATTAAAACTTATCTTTATTGTCATCTTTCAAAAATATGAATAGCAATAAGGACACATGAACACTTTTTATTTTTTTTCTAATGAGACTGCATAGAATTGTTATGCATAAAGCAGACTTCAAAACAGGTCAGGCATATCTAACTTGTAAAATAGAGTGTACATAGTTCAATACATAATGTGTATGCTTTCATTACAGGGTGAATGTGTTTAGTGTGTCCAAAAAATTTTGGTAATACAACTAGACTATCCTTCCATCCTCCAGTACCTCAAAGGTAGAACACAATGTATGTTTTTAAGATAAATATTATTTCTGAAATACTCCAGAACCCTAAAATTTTGCTGGTAGTTCTATCTATGTTCTGGATGCCCCAAATGTCTTTATGCTTGAATTATTAAAAATGAAAATCTTGGCTGGATGTCATAGCTCATGCCTGTAATCCATGCATTTTGAGAAACCAAGATGGGATGATTGCTTGAGCCCAGGAGTTTGAGACTAGCCTGGACAACCTAGTGAGAATGCATCTCTACAAATTTTGTTTAAAAATTAGCTCGGTGTGGTGGCTCACAGAGGTGGTGCCTGCTACTCGGAGGCTGAGGTGGGAAGATCACTTGAGCCTGAGTGATCAAAGCTGCAAAAAAATGGAAATCTTTATTTTTGCAGAATTTACAGAAGTCCTAATCTAGACAAAGGCACTTTTTATAATGGTTAAAGGTTGCTGCTGCTGTTTAAAGTTAGTAAAGTGGCTTCTAATCTAGGAATATATGAAAATGCACTAGAATACAATTTTTAAATAATCTGTAAGCAAATACTACTAAAAGCTCTCAAGATTTATAAATTTTGAAATTTTACCACCATATTTAAAATATTATAGTTGATTATTCCTGCTGATGGTGGAGTTTCTATCACTAGACTTGCATTTAGGTTTGAGGTAGCAAAAAACTGTTCCTTTTGGCTTTCCAAACAACCAGCAGAAGTTAGTGTGTAATTTCCAGTTAAGTTGTTACTATTTGCTTTTTTGTTTTGTTTTGTTTGTTTTTAATTGTTGCACAATCAGCCAGGACACCATTCTTGACTCAATTACAATAATATATTCTGAGAAATAATAAACAGAAACTCTATTTCTCTTACATGTATCAATGACATACAAAATATTTCCTCATAAATCTAAATTTAGCCCTCTGGAAAGAATCTAAATAAACTATAAGGGAGGTGGATAAACTCTTGGCAATGGTGTGGTATGCAGTAGAAACAGTACAGTCTATATTACTCAGCAGTCTTTTTATCTGCAACTGATAGAAATTTAAATTCAAGTTAACTAAACCAACAACAAGGAAAAGAGAACTCATTGACTAACATCATAGAAAATTCAAGGGTTCCATCCTGCTTCAGGGCTTGCTAAATTCAGAGACTCGAATGAAGTCATCTTTCTCTTTTTATTCCCTAGCTCTAGTTTGTTTTGTGTTGGCTATCTTCCACGAGTAAGCTGTCTATTTGAGGTGGCCTCCAGAAACTCTAGGCTTACTGCTAACTATTCCAGTGAAAAACGGTTTCTCTTCTGAATAATCCCAATAAAATCCCAACACTAAATATCACTGGATGACTTGGATCACACACACACCCTTGAGCCAATTGCTATGACCAAGGAGGTAGGATATGCTCACTATACAGGGCTAAGTCACATGCCTACTCCTAGATGAGAGAGCTATGGTCAGCTCCATTTAAACAACCTAGACTGAAAGTGGAGAAGACTTGATCACTGAAAGGAAAACCAGATGAAGTTACCCAAAGAAAGATGTTTAATAGGAAAAAAAAAAATTTAAAATCTACCTTACTTTCAAATTCAGGTGATTTTGGTCTACTTAATGATAGGTGACTTCTACTGACTCATTTTCTTCTCCATATATGATATTGATTTGGGGGTCAAATGACTAGCCTTAAGAATGTAGGTTCGATGGGGCACAGTGGCCCATGCCTGTAATCCCAGTAGTTTGGGAGGCCAAGATGGGTTGATCACTTGAGGTCAGGAGCTCAAGACCAGCCTGGCCAACATGGTGAAATCCCCGTCTCTACTAAAAATACAAAAAATTAGCTGGGTGTGTTGGCAGGTGCCTGTAATCCCAGCTACTCGGGAGGTTGAGGCAGGAGAATTGCTTGAACCCAGGAGGCAGAGGTTGCAGTGAGCTGAGATCTTGCCATTGCACTCCAGCCTGGGCAACAAGTAAAACTCCATCTCAAAAAAAAAAAAAAAAAAAAAAAAAAGAGAATGTAGGTTCATCTTGATTTTTATGGTATCAGAATAAAGGGCACATACAGTACATACAGTTTCTGGAAACAAGTTTATAAGAAATTGTCTCTGTAGCCTCAGGTTGATATAAAGGAAATAAAGATTTTAAGTAGTTCAATTCACTGTTTTAAGGCATACATGAAGTCTTAGTATTCTAGTATTTATATGACATTACTTTTTGTATTTTATCGTTGGATATAATATTTAAAAAACCACTAATTCCTGATTTTTCCCCTTATTTATAAGCTGGTTTTCTCTTCCAACATGAAGGTCACCATTACAGTTCCAGGCAAATAAACAGGAGATAGCAGATGTCTTCTCGGGAAGAAGAGGGTTATAATGTAGTGGGAAGCCTGCCTCCATTGTCAAGGGGTTTGTGCAGAGAACTGGGGAAGCAAAGGTAAGAGAGGGAGCTGTAGCACCAGACTGCGGAGACCTAGTCAGCTGAAAGAAGCCATTGGATCCTTACTAAGCTGAGAGGGGATAGACAAGGGGTTTATTAACATCAGACACTAACAGCAGGTGCAGAGCTGTGAGTCAGCCAGCATGCAGAGTATGATTGTACTGGTAGTTTTTACTGGTAGTTTATAGTTGTGCCTGTATTCTTAGGTACTTGCGTTGTACTGATTTCTGTGTTTTTACTTTCAGTATCAATTAAATGACATTCAGCGCATATCCAAGGACTAGCATGAGGCCAGCATTCTCCCTCTTCCCCAATGCTATCGAGTGATTTACACTTCTCTCCCACACATTCAGATGCCGTCTTAAAGAGAAATAGAGAAAGGAGAATGAAATGTTTTTGCAGAATTATTGTAGGATTACCCCATGTAATCTCTTCAGATAGCTGGATTGTACTAATATTTGAAAACCAAATTCAGTATTTCAACCCTACTTCCTAGTGTGTGGGTGGGTAGGGTCATAAAGATTAGATCAGTTATAGAGAAATAAAGAAGTCATGTGATATGCACATCCAAGTTGTGGTATGTGTAAATCCTGATACACAAACCAATGAATTAGCTTTAAATGTAAATTTATACTATTGGCCACTAGCAAGAGGCCACTTAATTTACTCATAGACATTTAGCTGGGATCTCTGTGTGTGATGTTAGTGCCATAAAAGGATGAACTTGAACCTCATAAGGCTGCATTTTTGTCTAGGTAGATTTAGCAAAGATTATGATTTTTTTTTTTTGTTTTTGAGGTGGAATCTTGCTGTGTCGCCCAGGCTAGAGTACAGTGGCCCGATCTCAGCTCACTGCAAGCTCCACCTCCCGGGTTCACACCATTCTCCTGCCTCAGCCTCCCGAGTAGCTGGGACTACAGGTGCCTGCCACCACGTCCAGTTAATTTTTTGTATTTTTAGTAGAGATGGGGTTTCACCGTGTTAGCCAGGATGGTCTTGATCTCCTGACCTCATGATCTGCCCGCCTCGGCCTTCCAAAGTGCTGGGATTACAGGTGTGAGACACCACGCCCAGCCCTAGTAAAGATTATAATTTTTTTTAAAACTAGGTCACCTTGTAATGGAAATAGTAGCAGAGGATAAAGAAGAAAGTAGAAAAAAAGGTTTTAATAAATATAGCATGTATAGGATGAATATTCTACTTATACCAGATACATAGATGATTGAAAATGGGATCATAAATAGGGCAAAAACACTGAAATGTGTACTTATGTAGAAACATATATGGATAGAAAATTTACAAAAGAAGAAAAAAGAAATTTGGAAAATATTCATTTTAGTTTTAATAAACATAAATCACACAAATGATTTATATAAATATAAAAAGTCCCCTTCTCACTATTGAAAGAGCATATTTTATATTGCTGGTGAAATTGTAAACCTTTTTTTTTTTAGTAATTTAGCAGTATTCATAAGACAGTAGATGTTTTCAGGAGTATAACTTAAAGAAGTAACCTCAAATATAGAAAACTCTGGGTTCACAAATATGTTGATCATGTTTTTTAGTAGTAAGAAAGTAAAAACAACCTAAGCATTCCAAAGTAGGAGAATGATTAAATATACCTAATTGTTTAAATATTATGAAGGCATTTAGGACCAAAGCAAAAAGGAAAAAAAGTCATTCTAATATTTTATAAATGTTACTCTTATACCTAATGACAAATATACATTTTTTAAGAAACAAGATAATGTCAGAATCATAGGAGTATCAGGTATTATTTTTCTGGTTTCCAAATACTAACAGTGTAGTCAGAATATCTGTTCAATGGCTAAGTGCATAAAGAAAGAAAATTGCTATGGGGACAGAATTGAATATCTCTGAACCCCAGTTTTCTTCTCTACAGATACCATCCAATATAATCCCTCATTCAAGTTTTCTAGATTCTAAAACTCTGTAATCTATGGTCTATAAATAATGAGCATATGAAAGATTTAGTTTTAGACTTCTTTCAAAACGTTGTCACTAAGATTCCATGGAAATAGAGCATTGCCATCTGGTGGGATAGCTCATAAATAAGAACATAAATAATGCATTTTAAAAGTTTGTTGCATTAATAAATATTTCAAAAAATATAGAAAAGTTATAAAAAAGAAAGGATTATTGAGCAAAAGCAAAATAATAGATACTCAACACTCAACAAGATTTCATTCTCAGCAAACCATCGCAAAGACAAAAAACCAAACACCGCATGTTCTCACTTATAGGTGGGAATTGAACAATGAGAACACATGGACACAGGAAGGGGAACATCACACACCTGGGACTGTTGTGGGGTTGGGGGAGGGAGGAGGGATAGCATTGGGAGATATACCTAATGCTAAATGATGAGTTAATGGGTGCAGCACACTAACATGGCACATGTATACATATGTAACAAACCTGCACGTTGTGCACATGTACCCTAAAACTTAAAGTATAATAATAATAAAATTAAAAAAAATACCTACTTTGTGCAAAACATTGTAGTAGTAAAAATTAGAGAAAGTCTAATTAGAGAGATAAAATTTTAAATTGAAAAGTTACATTAAATATAAAGCAAAGTTCACTCATTTTTGGATTAGTATATTTTTGTGTATTTTGTTTAAAAATCTTTGCTTATCAGTAGGTAGTAAGAATATATTGTGATATTGTATTTTAAAAGCTTTGTTTTATGTTTTATATTTAGGTGTATAATCAAATTGAAATTGATTTTTTAAAAATATGGTAACACGTAGGAGTCACCTCCCACATCTATAGGCATCTTTCATCATTTATTAAAAACCTGTTATGATAGACTCTCCTTTCTCTGCTTCCCAGCTCACCACATTTCACATAAATCGTGTATATATGGGTTTGTCTCTAAATCTTCAATTTTGGTCTATTTGTCTATACTTGTACCAATACTTCATAGTCTGAATTACTGTAGTTTTACAATAAATCTTGAATTTTGGAAGCGGATGTCCAGCTTTCAGCATCATTAAGATTGCTTGGTTCTTTGTATTTTTATATACATTTTGAAACCTTGTTGTTGGTTGATGCTCATATACTTAAAAAATAACTTCTGAGATTTTGACTGGGAAAACAGTTAAATAGACTAATTTGTGGAAAATTGACATCTTTATAATACTAAGTTTGTCAAATCATAAATATGGCATATACACCTCCATTTAAATAAATGGAGGCACTTAAAATTATCTCTATTATTATTGTATTTTTTTCTGTGTGGAGGCTTTGCACAACCTGATTGAAATTATTCCTTAGTATTTTTGGCTTTTATTGTTATTGTACATTTTTAAAAGAAAATGTCATTTTATATCTATATGTTCTCAGTGGAGAAATATAATTAATTTTTATATATTGATTAATATTGTTGAATTCATGTATTAATTCTAGTAATATATCTACAATTTCTTTTAAATTTTCTGCCATTCAATTGTTATCTATGGTGATTGAGAGTTCTTTTTTTCTTTCTAATCTTTCTGTATTTTATGTTTTTGTCTTCTTTAGATATTATTTTCCCCTTTGTTATTCCATTAGCTATGTATTCTTTTGCTACTATTTCAAAGTGGATATCTTAAAGCATAAAAAATGGAAATGTATGAAAGTTTCCATAAACTCCAGTCCTTTTACTACCACCAATGTAATGACCTTTGAACACTTTATTTTTAATCTTCTTTTGTGCTATTGTGTATGTAGTATATATATATTTAAAATCATACTACACATTTTAAACTCAAAAGTTTATTACATTTTGGTTTTGCCAGTCAAAATTGATTTTACTTTACTCACTTATATACCTTTTCTATGGATCTTCCTTCTTTCTTGAATTTTTGTGCTGCCTTCTAGGATTATTTTCCTTCTGTCCAAAAAACTTCCTTTAGCGTTTTCAGTTAAGATGTGTTCATAGTTAAATACTTACTTTGGTTTGTTTGGAGGTGCTTTTATTTTCTCTTTCATTTAAAGGATAATAAATGGGTCTGGAATTCTAGATTGGCTGTTATTTCTTTTCAACACTTCAAAGACCTCATACCATTGCCTTCTGGCTCGTATTATTTTTTCAGAGAAGTGAGCCATCAGTTTTATGTTGCTCATTTGAAATTATGCTGTCTATCTCCCTCCACATGCTTATAATTTTCTGAAGTTTTACTATGATATGCATATATTTGGTTTATCTCTCTTTGATTTTATACTATTTCTTGAATCTGTAGCTTTATATCTTTCATCTGTCTTGAAAAAAATTGGCCATTTTCTCTTCAAATACACTATTGATCTATTCTCTATATCCTCTCCATGGTGGACTCTAATTACACATAAGTTAGACCTTGCATTTTGTCTCAGATGACTCTGGCTGTCTTCTATTTATTGGTCTTCATACATTTGTTCAGTTATTTCTACTGACTTTTTTTCCAGTTTCACCAATCTTCTCTCCTACTTTGTCTAATTTACTGTTAAACTCATTTATTGAGTTACCTTCAATTATCATGCATGTGGTTTTCTATTTTTTACTTCTAGAATTTTCACTTGATTATTCGTCAATTTCTTTTTTGCTAAAAAAACTCTTCACCTTTTCATCTAATTTCTTGAACATACTATTCATAGTTATTTTAAAATTCATGTCTGTAAACTCCAGTGTATTCCAATTCCATCTCTGAATCTAACTACCTTTCTAGCATCAGAAAATATAAACTTCTTATGTCACTGTTTCTCATCTACCAAATAAAGAGGTCTATTATTGTGATAAACAAAACTACTTTGCTCTTAGTACTTGAAGCATCACCTTACAATATTGAGCTGCACTTAGCCATAAATTTTAATTAAAAGTAAGGGGTTTACATAAGATTATCTCTAGATTCTTTTCTAATTCTACAAGACTAAGTCTATGGCTATTTTGAAATATCTTCCATATTTGGTACTATGCTAGGTACTGTGGGGACATTTATCCAAATTTAGTATTCAAGAGAATATGATTTAGACTGAAAGCCTCATGGCACCTCTCCATCTTTTTTGCTGATCTCCTTGTCTCCTAGTACAGTTGGTGGCACACGGCAGGTGCTCATTAAGTACTGATTGAATGAATAAATGAGTAATTTGGTTAATTGTATTAGAAATATAGATAAAGGGACAGAGCTTATACTCTTTTGGTGAAGGACTAATAGAAAATAGTGATTGGCTGAACATAGGAATTGAAAGAATAGGGAAGAGGTAAGGAGATGATAATTACTATACTCTATTGAGCATTTGCTATGTATCAGATTCTGTTCTGAATGTGCCATATACATTACACCAGAAAATCCCTATAGTTTCTCTTTGAGGTAAACATTTAGAGCAAGGCTAAGTTACCTGAAAGTGGCAAAGGTGAGACTCAAACTCAGCTTGGTCTGACACTAAAGCTTATAGTCATACTTAATGATGCCTAAAGTTTTAGGCAGAAAGACAGAAAAAAGTATCTTTTCATGCACAATTAAAAATCTGTAAACCTAGACATATGAAGATAGATAGATACAGATTGTCATATATTAAAAACAAAAGAAAAATATTCTTTGCCTTTGGAGGTTTTCTTTTCCTCTTCTTTGGTGTTTTTTCCCACCCTGAAGAAAAATACATTATGTCTTCTTCATAATCCATAACTCAACTGCCAATGAGTACAGAATCTTTAAAAATTTTACGTAATATAAGACAAGGTTCAATTCTTAATATTGCAGAAATAGATTTTTAAATGCAAACATACGTATTACATACACATAATTACACACATATACAGGAGAGAAAGAATATGTTTTCCTTGGCATAGCAGATCAGTAAGAAAATATTTCACCAGTCCAGTAATCAAACATATTATAATTTCCAGAATTAATTAGAATAAATATTCTTGTTTCTCTTTCAAATGACACTTTGGTGAGTGGTTATTGTATCCTATTGCAAAAAGTAAATTAAAAAAAATCTCAAGAAAGCAGTTAAGAAATCTTATTTTATATATATACAATATGAAGATAACACAGTTTTAGCATAAGGATTCAAAATAAAAAAGCCTAGAAAGAATTTAATGTGATAAATAGACCAAAATGAATACTTCTTTCTATTGCCAGCTTATCTTCTACAATAGATCACTGTGTAGCAATTGGAGGCAACACAGTCTCAGACCTCATCTCTTACTGTTCTCCTCTTTGTTTGCTCCATTTTAGCATCACTGGCATTTGTGGCGCTCCTTGTATACAGCAAGAGCATTTCAAACTCAGGACTTTCATACTAGCTTTTTCTTCTGCTTGTTATATTCTTGCCCCCAAGAATAAAAAGATTACCTTTTTATTTCTTTCAGGTTTCTGTTCAAATGTTACCTTTCTAGTGAAGCTTTCTTGACCACCCTTTACAAAAGAGTAACCCATGCCCTGCCTTACTCTCAACAGCAATCCTGGCACTATCTCTTGCCTTCCTTTATTTTCCTTTAACACTTGTGTTATCATTGGATATACTCTATATTATTTGCTTATTTCTGCAATTAATATCCATCTCTTTCCTTAGGAAATAAGGTCTATGAAGAAAGAAAATTTATTTTGTTCACTTTGGTATCTCAATGACTACCACAGTACCTGGTGCATGGTAGTCTTCAATAGATATTTATTGAACAATTGAGTGCTAAATGCATAAGAAAGCATTTTCAGAAGGTTTTCAACTCTTCCAAGCCAACAGATTATTATTCACGGAAATTAAGCTAACTCTTCCAATTAAAACATAGCATTGGCAAAAGGAAAAAACCACCATGCATTCATTTTGTTCTAGAAGAATTGTTATGCATATCTGTAAATAGTTAAACCAAAAGTATTGATGGAAAGATTGGGAACTGTCCCGATCTCAATTAACTTTTCTATCACAATTCATGTAAAGAACATGGAATCCTGTCCTATTTTGATGGTTGTTTGCAAAGAAGTAAAAACAGCACAGGGACCTTAATAAATATTTGTTGAATTAGAACATATATATGTTTATATACACATATAATGTATATATCCTATTACAGACAAAGTTCTGTGACATTAGAACCTCTTGTTTATTCGATGAAGAAATATTCTATTTTCTCTTGTGCCTCTAATTAAAACAGAAGGCCAAATGCTCCAACGTTGTAAATTACCGAAGTATTAACCAAAGCCAGCTGCAACTTATAAATGCCCCCCTTTTTATAAGAAGTCAACTTGGGCATGTGTTCTTCTTGGTATTATATAGCATTTGATATCTCTTGTTCATGCCTTCCAATTTTTTAATAGCACATTATCTTCTTTATGAGGTTTCCTTAAGCCCAGTAATGTATTCAACATACTCTGAAGAAACACATACACAAATGCATTCATTTTAAAAGCCCATTATTTGTATACAGCATGTGGTAACATAATAAAGGACTGAGGTTTTAACTTTCTCTATAACAAAGTACCTGAGATACTAATTAAGACATTTATATGGGTGCCAGTGTAAAACCATGAAGAAATTGGTCAACAGTATTTAAAACTGTAACATTACCTTAAATTCACAACGAAGAGATGTTAGAACAGGAGACTCAGTTTTGCTTAGAACACAAGTCATGCTCTGATAGAAAGCGCTTAGAGAAGCACTTAACTCTTGCAAGCATCCAGGAAGTTATTTTAGAACTGTAAGATACACAGTGTAGTAATATAGGCACTGAGGCAGTGTTAGGCCCTAGGGATAAGATGACCAATTAACAACACTTGCACAAAAGCTTACAATACTAGAACAGCTTTCAGGGGCTTTTACTGATCCACAGTCACTTAGGTCCCAAATCAGATTTTTGAAAGTGAATCCTAAGTAAAAAGGTGAGTACACTAGGCCCTTCTATCTTTTGACGTTTTGTTGGTGTGTTATATGCTTTGAATCTTGGGTCACCATACAGGCATTAATGCCTATATTCCTGTTATAATATTCATAAAGCCTCCTTTCATTCTTGAAAATATTCCTGTTTTGGAATAATCTGTCTGGCCGCCCAATATAAACCCTTCTGCATATATCAAGTGAAAAGCTTCTTTATCTAAGAGGCAGGAGTCATCCAAGATCTTCTCTTTGCAGACTACACCCTTGGAGAGACTCATTAAGATGAAAGACACAAAAAGGCCTAAGAATTGATTTACTTTGATCACTTAAAGAATACATCTTGATGTTTGAAAATAATTTTAAAATTATGTTTTCATGTGTGTATATACGTGATTTTAAAATATGGACAATTTTAACTTTAAATTTAGCCTTGGTCATATGAACACTACTGGGACTTCAATATTTAAAAAATATATTATACCAAATACCAGTATTTTTTAGTAACTGGGTTATTATTATGTTCTCTTTTCCCAAAATAAACCGACAGCCTCACAAACAATGAGAGATTATTAAATAAAGGAAGAAATGTTAGGAAATCATGTCTGACTATTTTTTCCACTGATTGCAACCCGACATTATTGGAGATCTGGTCCTTTACACAGAGTGGGAAATCTCCAAGACGACTGAAGGTGGTTGAGTAATGGCTCAGACCTCAGCCACTCACTAATTAACTTACCTGCTGTATCAGGAAATTATGTGAGTAAATATGGTCATTTACTTAACTTATTTGATATTCAAATCACTGGATTATTAAAATAATATTTTGCCAAGTCTTACACAAGTGACTTTAGTCTAAAAGAAACTTAAACACTGGATCCACACAGACATTTTTAGTTTATTTCTTCAAGCCCATAAAACAACTCTAAAATGTAGTGTTTAATTGTCCCTACCCTGTCTATACATCTGTAAGAGTCTCTGTGCTCATAATTATAATTATGATTCATGAAAAGAAAAGTTCTTTCTCTGGAATCCCTTACTTTTCCCCTACTGTCTCCTTTTTTCCTTTCCTCAGTTTATCTAAGGTGATTGGACAGGAGTCATCCAGGGCTATAGCAACTCCAGTTCAGGTTGAGGGACCAAGGAAAGCTGTTAATACCCTACCTTCTGTGGGAAAAATCTGGTTTCACTTGTGGGAAAAATCTGGTTTCACTTGTAGAACTTGCTGCTTCAGTCTGTTCCCTCTTGGAGAAGCTAGTGCAATTCTAGGTTGCCGCTTCTATGCCGTGCCCCTCTTTCTCCTCACAATGTGATAGGAAAGCACTTGGAAGGGCTTGTGCCCTTGCTTGGCACCCCAAGGCAAATTGTAACACATGGCCTTGACTGTCATTTATATACGATATTCTCTCCTTTTCCCCCTTTTCTAAAGGATGAGCATTTGAAAACAATGCAACTTTAATTTTTATTGATTAAAGGGAGCATAAAAACATGATTGGCTCAAACCATTTTAAAAGTCTATTGTATCCTTGAGATATAGGTTTGTTCTATGCCTCTGTTTCCTTCAGCCCTTACATCCAGCCCTTCAGTGAGTCTTTTCAAGTCTACCTCTAAAATGTGTCTTGAATTTGTTTACTTTTTATCTTCTACAAATATCATCCTCATTGTAGCCATCATCATCTCTCGCCTGGGTACAACAGCTTCAGAAATGGTCTCTTTATATGTATTCTTGCCTTGCTACAACCTATTCTCCATAGAGAAGGCTGTGATCTTTTTAAAACAAAATTCAGTTTATATAATTCCCCTGCTCAAACCCTCCAATACATTCTTACCTTGTTAGTGTACAAAATACACAATTCACTGAAATCTAAAAGGCCCTGCAGGATTCAGCTGCAGACTATATCATCCTTTATCTTTACCATGACCTCTTTTGCTTACCTGCTTCTAGGCATGAAGCCATTTCTATAGTCATTGGACAGACCCAGGTCTGCTTAACCTTCCTCTGATCTTTTCAGGGCTGGCTCCTTTCTGGCATTCAGGTTTCAGCTGAAATATCACCACTTTGAGAGGCCTTCTACAGCTATTCCATCTAAAGTTGTCCCTTACAACCTCCGCCGGAAACTTTTAATCACACCACATTATTGTAGAGACACCTAACAGGTTTTTGTTTTGTTTTGTTTTGTTTTGTTTTTGACACTAAATTTGTAATGGCTAGGTGCAAACAGTTCTGGTAACTTCCTCTCTCAGGCCCCTCAAGGTCTAAAGAAGACTAAACTGGCTTAATAGTCATTGTCACCAGCAAATCAGTGGAAACTGCAAAAGAAAAGGAGTTCTTCTAGGAGAGAAAGGATTGAAGATAAGCCAAAGAGTCCTTCTCACCACATTTGGGGTATCGGATCTCTCTCCCCTGGGGCTTGTGTTTCTGAAACCTAATGATAGGACTCACTTCTTCCCTTGAAATTTCTGAAGGAGGGATGCCTGCAGGGCAAGTGGAAACTACAGTTTAGGTTTTCTAAGAAGGAAAGGTTAGGGATGTCCACATCCCAGTTCTCCACATTTCTGGGAAAGGATGAAGTAGAGGATCTCTTCAGTTTCCATGATCTCATGTGAAAGTGACTGGCATTAGCTAAGGGATAGGACTTGTAGAGCTGAACTGGTAGTTGCTTAGTGGGATTTCTGGAGGCAAGAGACATTAAGTAGAGGATATAGGACATACCACTGGTGGGAGCTGAATGAAGATGCCCTTTGTGCATCTTCCTAACCACAGAAAATTACAATGCCCCCAATTCATCACCCTCTTATATCTGTGCTCTATGCAATGTAACTTCGAAGCTTGTCCCATCAAGGGATGGAGTTTTGACTCTTACCTGGCCTGTGACTTGCTTCAGCCAATAAAATTTGGTAGAAGTGATTGTGTGTCAGTTCTGAGCCCAAGCTCAAAAGGCCTTATGAGCTTTCATTCTGTCTTAAACCCCTGGGATCTCTTGGACCAGGCTAGTCTGTTAGAGGATGAGAGATCATATGGAGGAGAGATGGCTTTTCCAAGTAATCCACCTTCCTACCAGCCAATACTCTTATGCCCTGCCAGCTGGTGGCAGACACATGAGAGAACCTAGCTGAGATCAGCCAAGCCCAGCCTAGACCAGATGAATTTCAACCAGCAGACTTGTGAGCAATAACAAATGGTTATTATTTTCAGCTACTGAGTTTTGGAATAGGTTATTATGCTGCAGTAGCTAATGATATGTGGGTGAAAAAAGCTGAATACTGTCTGAGAATACCATTTGTTACCTTCTATGCAACTGTCATTCTAAAAGAAACCACCATCAGACTGACATTGATGGAGAAAACAGGTCTTTCCTTTGTATCTTAGTCCATTTGAGCAGCTATAACATAAAACCATAAACTGGGTAAACAACAGAAACTTAATGCTCATAGTTCTAGGGGCTGGGAAGTCCAAGATCAAAGCAGATTCAGTGTCTGGTGAGAGTCTACTTCCCCATAGATGTCTATCTCCTTGCTATGTCCTCACTTAGTGGAAAGGGAGAGGGCCTCTCCAGGTCCTTTTTTATAAGGGCACTAATCCTATTTGTGAGGTCTCTGCCCTCATGACCTGATTACTTCCCAAAAGCCTCACCTCCTAATACTATCACCTTGAGGGTTAGGATTTGAACATACAAATTTTGAAGGACAAAAAGCACTCATATCATAGTGTTCTGCCTCAGATGGCAGCTGGCTCCGGATGCAGCTAGCATCCCAAGGGCTGGGGCCAAAACTGAGTGATGGCACCGCAGCAGAACCAGCTGAGCAGTAACCACGATTAGGGATAGGATTAGGATGAGAGCCATTGTCTGGCAGCCAATGCAAGCAAATCTTTGGATAAAAGATAGTGGACTTAAGAGATTTTAATGTTGCTATCTGAAGCACTAGAAGTTATTATGAGGTTTTTATTAAAAATAAAACAGCTCTGTGTGGAAAACAATTCTGTACTTTTTGGTTAACATCTGAAGTGATTTAAAAGAAGTATAGATTTATGAACTATTATTATTTCCTTTACTAGCTATGTTTTATGACTTCTCGTAATTACTTTAAAAGGGGTTTTATAAACATAGAAGTTTACATTTCAAATGGGTAAAAATGGGTTTCTGGTAAAATAATTTGACAGCAAGAATGTCCTCAAATATCAAAAACACAGGTAAATCTGTCACCTTTGATAAAGAACAGAGTCAAGTCCAATTTATCTTATTTTGCCTTAGTTGAATAGTCAACTACGAAAAGCTCTTTGCCTAGTCTGCTATGTTGTCATTTTTTCTCTTTTAAGCCAACAAAGACTAAAGCATGTTGCAGCATATGAATAAAGAAATTCTAGATCCAATTAATTCATTTATGGTTTTCTTTTCATTAAAATTGGTTCTTGTTGTATACGTATTTTTCTTTTTTGTAATATCTTATAAGAGGAATGATGTAACTTTGCCAGGTAACTTTGAGGCCTCTGCTCTGCTTGAGCACCCACTGAGCTGTTCTTTTGGGTGTTGTAGCTCTGGATTGCAAATAGGTGCTTGCAGAACATTTGTTAAAGAAGTGATTGAAGACTAGGTACTAGAGCATAGTGAATGTGACTCTGAACTTTGGAATGAGACAGATCTGGGTGCAAATCCTGGCTACATCAGAGATTTGTTCATAGCCTTATTGTACTGTAAAAATAGGACAACAAAATTACTGAAGGAGTTAAAAAAGATGAACTATGTAAAGAAGTTAGCACTGTGCCCAGGCTAGCACAAGGGGATTTTTACAAAATGATTCTATGAGAATCATGGAATAAGCTAAATCGGTTCTAAATTGAAAATAAATGTTCCAGTAAAAAGTTACAACAAAGAGAAGCTCAATTTTATAGACATAAACTTTACATAACATATGAGCCAAGTGATCATTTATGATACGCCAATGTTGCATTATTCTTTTTAAAAATGTTGTAGATAGAATTGGTTGTTTAAAAACATTTAGGAGTTAGATCATTTTTCATGGTCTAATAATAATAAGAGATTAAACAGGGTTGTGCTCTATTACTGATAGTGTAAATTTACCTTAAGTTTGGTAAAGGAATGAAGAGAATATATGATGAGGATGTTTTCAATTGATGAGAGTCTTGTCTTCCTGTGTTGCTGTCCTCAGAGTTCCTGCTCTGGGAGTCTTTTATAGGTGAGAACATTTTTTCCTGTGATTCTTTTATCAGTAGAATAATTCCCTTAGATATAACACAACAAGGAACCCATCATTTTTTCCAGACAAACTGTAAGACTCAGTCCATACTTCGTCATTAGAAAATTTTATGTCCTTGATTATTTAACCTCTACAGGTTTCATTTCAACAAATATTTGAAGACTATATTAAGCAGAATTAATTCATCATACTTGATGCTCCGGGTATTATTAAAAATGAGAGGACCCAATTCCAGTCCTCAAGGAGCTTACAATTAAGTCAGAGGATGCAGTACAAAAATATTTCTGAAACAAGGCCGGGGAATGTAGATCATCATTAAAGAGGCACAAATTGTGCTCTGTGCTGTTCAGAGGCAGAGGAGGGTTTGTCTGATGGGAGGAGGGCAGGAAAGGAATCATCTTATAGCTAACACCTGAAGTAAGCCTTGAATGACTGGCAGAATTCCCAAAGCCACTTTGCATTTCAGTGGGAGGCAGCAACATGAATACGCTGAGACATGCTCATTCTGCGGTTACAAGTCACTAAATCTGGTTGTGGCAAAATGTACATTTAAGGGAACTGATAAGAGTAGATTGGGTGACACTGTTTAGGACTCTGAATTTGGCAAAAGGTTTTAATTCAGCAGGAAATAAGAAATCTCATGTTCTTCATCTGAATAAGAAGTAGCCTTGTTCTCTGTGGATTCTTTCAACAAACATTTATTAAAGAAACAGTAAACCCATAATTTCATAATTATTTAGTTACAATGCCCTTCTCTGTACTATGATTCTATAATTATTTGTAAGTATATTTATTTAGACTAACAACAAATGGATAGATTTTGTCCACTGAAATTTTTTGATTCCAATGCTTCCACGTTTGAACATAGTCCCTCCACCTTAGAACTCAGTTAGAGCTTTATAACTACTTTGTTTATTGCATTTTGCATGTTCATATCCTATTATTATTACGTATTTATACATGTCTTCTTCTTCCTTTTTTTTCTGAATGTTAAACTCCAGACAGTGGGGCCCACGTTCAATGTATCTTTGTATACTGTGCAGTGGTCGGTTTAAGAAGCATTCAAAAATATATGTTGAATGAATAAACAATTTAATTAACATCTGCTTCCTAGTGAAATCACTAGACTCAGTTTAAATGGCTTAAATTACATACTAATTTTTACCTGGAAGATTCTTGTTGAAAATGATTGAAAATCTTATTTAAAAGGCCAATTTCTCGGCTCTCTTAATACCACTGCTTTACTAATTTGTTGGAGATAAAACATCGCATTTTTTCAAGTTTGTTATATTTTTATTACAACAGTAACACATGTTCACTGCAGAAACTTTACACATTACATATAAGCAAAAAGAAAAAATCATAATTCTCAAAATCTCAAACTATAAGTAACCACAGTCACTGTTTTAGGGTAGTTTATGATGCAGTCTATGTGCATTTTTTTTAACGCTTTTAATAAACATGGCTAATTTGCCCTTTAGAAACACTGAACTATTATATGTTCCTGGAATTGTTGAGAATGCTCTTCGCTTATAGTAACACCACGTCTAATCAGCAATATTAATCTTGGCAGAATGGGTAGGGGAAAATAGTTCCTTTATAAATGTGCATTTCTTTGAATACTAATTAAATTGAATATTTTTCATAAATGTATTGACCTTTTCTATTTCCTTTGTAAACTGCCTCTTTGCTTTTTGGCCTATTTTTCTATTGGGGTATTTCTTTCTCTCTCTTTCACTCTGTCTCTCAAATGATTTTTCAGAACTGGATGTATATTAACCAACATTTTCCCCAGTCATTTGTCTTTTACCATATTTCCTTTCAGAGTCACTGATCCCTAGGAAGAGTCTAATAAACTAAGTGAAAGTCACATTATGATCGCCTCTTCCTTTCATTTCTAAACTGAGTAAATGTCATGAGCTAGAATGTCTTCTAGGAAGGGAAGCAAACCTAAAAACAACCAGTGGAATATTATTTTCTCTATGAAGAGAATTATTTTCAGAAGCAACGGTAAACACAGCATTTAAAATAAAAAGATGTCCTAATTTACTTTTGGCAATTACTCAGAATTTAGAATTGATATAACTACTTTCTTTTTACCCTTAAGAATATCATACATAGTGCTGGCCTAAAAAGGAATATAATGGGAAGTGCATGCTAGGGATGACAAGTCAGATTTGGTAATTACAGTTAACAGTAACGTCTGTTCATCCACTATTGACGCATTGAAGTATTTCCATGGGATATGTAAGGGAGTCATGTATAGCTGTGCCCCATAAATTCAATAAAGAATGAACACTCTTATGGTTTGGTAACTGAGAAGTTAGCTGGGGGCAATGGTGAAATTCTTTCTTCCTGAAAAATGGAAACTATGAAAGGGGAGAAAAGTGAAAGACATTACAAAAGGGAACAAGAGCAACATGACTGGGAGTACAGAAGTATAGAAAAAAGGAAAAAAGAAATAGACATAAAGTAGACGAGATGGACAACTAAGGGTTAGGAGAAACACATTTTAAAAATGTATTAAATCCAAATTATAAAAAATGGTACAATGATCATTGTAAATTGTTAAATTTATATCAGTGGGGCATTACAAATATGGAACAGTTTTTTAAAATGTTTTCAATGGAATTTATCCCTCACATGACATAAAAACATTTAATTGTATCTTCCTTTAGGCATAAATGTTGAAAGAAGTTCGTTTTTTAAATCTGTTAAATTTTTTAAGTACATACGTGCACACAGATGAACTTGGTGTTAGAAGTGCTGCAAGCTGTTTATTAAAACTTAGAGTGCTGTCAGATTCCCCTGATATTTTCAGATGTTTGTTTACCAGCAGTAGCTTCAGAAGCAAGAAGAAAACCGGATCATTTATAATTGTATTTGGCTTAGATAAATAAAAGGTGTTTGGCTAAAGGTTCTTCCTAATTGAAGTCACTTTAAAATTCAATAAAAAGAACTGGCTAAAGAAGCAAACCCTAGGTATACAATAGTTTGTAATCATGAAACCAGCCTAGATTCAAACCCTTTCCTGAAAGAAAAATAGAGAAATATTTGTTGCCCTGGGGATGTTGGTGTATCTAGAAACAGAATAAGCAACAGATAATAATAATTTGAAGTTTTATTTATTCATTTTTCACTTTCTTCCAAAATCTTGCTTGGGTCAATATTAGAAATAAGAAAAGGGCCATTTTGAAATATAAACAAAAATATAAGTGTTTAGCTCTCTCAAATATCTTAACAATTATGAAATTATTAAAATGTTTAAGAAAATAATTCTAAGATAAACTTGATTTACTTGTATTAAAACAAAAATTAGAGACAAAATTGTGGACTTCCTTTTAGGTAGTTTTAAAGCATTACTTTAAATAGTTTCAATTAAGTGTAAATAAGGTGAATTTAATAGTCTGACAAAGAAATAAAGCCTGGATGCTCTTAGTTCAATTCATTAGTGATGGCAAGGTATATAAAGTAAAATTGCTTAGAGAAAGAAAAAAATCAAATGGGATAATACTTCAAAAAAATAGAGACTGATCACCAAAAGTCTAATGAAGGTTTGTGAATCATGTTTTTCAAATGGCCATTTGAGTAGCGTGACTCATGCAATATCCTCCCTCCTTGGCCTCTTTCCACAGTCAGCCAAAAATTAGTGATGAAAATCATATGAGAAGGAAATGTATCAAGTGGTTTTAAATCCTGACATAGAAACATGGTTTGCATCACCATGAATGCCGAACTCTAAAACTGCAGGTATCTTGATTAGGTTGAGAGAGAAGTTTAAAAATCACAAGTGATACTTTAATGGTTTCACTCCAATGAAGTGGAAAGGAGCTATCTTTTAACATTTTTCTTAACATCTTTATTTTTTGCCTGCCTGATTTTATTTATTCCTTGATCTGTGAGCTCTGATATGTGAAGTGTATTTCTATGGTTCTAAGGTAACTTTTAAGCTTGATGATTTTCACCATTGTGGATCAATAATATAATTTATCCTATTTCTCCCACTGTGGCAATACTGAAATAAAAATGTAAAACCAGTTTATCTGTTTTCTAATGCCTGGTTTACTCTTCTGAATTCTATAAATCATTCTGTTTTTCATATATACACATACATATGCATACACTATATGTATACATATAAATTTACTATATATGTATATATACCTACAAATATATATGCCTACAAGTATCCATATATACCTCCTATATATGTATATAAACCTACTATATATGCCTACAAATATATATATACTCTCTCTACACACACATACATGCACCTACACAGAAATCTGCAGGAAAATGACACTTTCACATATTCAAAGGGATCCCAAAAGAGTTCAAAAGCCAAGATTGGAAGCACCAACCCATGGAAAGATGTATTTAAAATCACAAAATACTTCTGTGGACACTGAGAAAAACCAAGCCACACAAACGTTTACATATGAGCGTGATTAGAAGGTGGGCAGACTGCCTTAATCAACTTTATATAAACTCTTGACATAAAAGTGAAAAAATGAAACATAAATGATATATTTTCTTAGCTCAACCGTTAAAAAGCCAATTACCTACTCGTGAACGTTTGCCACATACAATAATACTTTGAAGACACTTCATGATCAGAAGTGAGAAACTCTAGGCATTTGCATCCAACCGTCATTTTATCTGTGAAACTGCTAGTAAAACATAAACCTGAAAGGCATTACTCCCAGCTCTAAGGCGACATCGCTGTCATTAAAGAAAACCTGTGCCTGAGTTGGCTGAGTACCTTCTTGCAGAGTCCTCTGTCCTCGCGGAGTGGGAGGGTCACACTGGGAGAGACTAATAAGGGCAGAGATGCGTCCCCCTTCCCCACTCGCAGGGAGCTCACTCCTCGGCGGTGCCGCAGCCCTGTCCGGACTCCACTGCGCCTCTGAGGGGCTCAAATACGAATTCAAGGTAAGCTGCGCGGCTTTGCGACCGGCTCTGCACTTGCCCTCTCACACATGCCCGGGCTATGTCATCTGCTCGTGTTCCTAGTTATCTGTGTGCATCTGCTTTTCAAGAAAATGTAAAAACTGTGCTACACATGGAAATATGTTTAGGTGGATAAATAATGCACACCTGCATACGTTTCCATAGGGGCCTTAAGGATGGGACCAAAAACGTTTGGCAGGAGACGGCCACTCTCATGTGGTACATACCATGTAGTTCGTGTTCCTATGTTCACATGATGCAGGCTTCATGCGTTACACCTAAGTTCTAGGTGGTTTTTCTGGCTATGTGTGTCTGTGAAGCGGAACTATGGAGCACTGCTGATGCGGGTAGGGACAGACATCAAATACATTACAAAAAAAATGGGGGGTTAAAGGAGTAAAACAAACTCACTATCAATTCATGCCGTTAGAGCGCTTTTTTTTTTTTTTTTTGACGGTGTTAGCCCTGGAAGCGAGGCAGCCAGTTAAGCGGCGTAAGCTAAGAGACGCGGGGTTCCGGTGCGGTGCCCTCCGGCCCGGGGTTACCTACTCCACATGTGGGTGTTTTTCCCAAGTGCGGCTTCTGGGGGGCGGCGCGGGCGCGGGCGGGGATTCCCGGACTCCAGCCCCACCACGTTCCGGAGCGTCCGGCCCTGTTCCTTAATTACCCTGCAGCATGCGCAGCGCGGTCGGCCACAGCGCCGCCGCCGTCCCCGCAGTCCTCCCTGCAGCCACCGCCGCCGCCGCCGGAACGTCCCAGTCGCGGCGCGAGGAAGACGCGGCCCCAGCCTCTGCCGCCTCCGCTGTCAGAGTCCCGAGGCCACCGCCGAGAGCGCGCCGGCGCCGCAGCCACAGCGGCCGAGAACCAGGAGGCGGCGCCGGGCGGCCCAGCTAGGGCGCTGCAGGGTCGCGAGGAAGTTTGTTGGCCCGGAACCAAGCACGCCGTCGGGCACGCTAGCTCCCCGAGAGCAGGCGGGCGCGTAAGCGAACCCCCTTAGAGGTTACGGAGGGAGCGGGAAGCCGGCAAGAGGGTGGGCAGAGGAGCTGGGGGACAGGCGGGTGCCACAGGAGCCCCCGAGGAGCTTCATTTGATGAGAAGGTGAAGAGGCAGAGGGGACCAGCGTGCCTTGTCAGCCTCAGGGGACAGTGGGCTGGAGAGCAAAAAGAGGAGGGCCCAGAATGCTGATAATAAGTAGTTTTAATAGAACAATCCGTGAATAGAGGCAAGAGAGTGATCATCGGCCACAGCTTGAGATTGGGAGATGGAAGAGTAAGGGAAATAAATTGCGCCACCTCCCTCAATCCCCAATTCCAAGACGACTCAGTCCCATCTTCTGCTTGGATAAGTCTGAGGAGGATTAAGATGTGAGGATAATCACTCTGCTGTAGGGGAATTTACATCTGCCTGTTAATGGAGGAGATGAAACAAACGCACACCAGTATCTATTTTCAACCACCACCCCTCCCCAAAAAGGAGAGAACACCAATGCCTCCCCCTCTGCCCGAATCAAACACTGCTATAATTCTTTAGGAGACTAAAGGGAAAAAAAAAAAAGAAAGAAAAGAGCCCCTGCTCGTATGTGGGGTCTTGGCATCTCCTTGTTTTTGAGTGGTGGGAAACTTGCAGGACCCTCTCTAAGTAGAGAGATCTTTGATATGGGCCTGCAAAGCTGAGATATTTAGGTATTCCAGTGGTGAAAAACATGCATAAATGCCCCTTCCTGAGGAGGGCTGACAGGGTTTTTGTGTAGGAATATCTCTTCAGGATGAAAAAGAGGAGGGTGACCCCCAGAGGCAGAAAATTTATGCTCTCTCTAGGGGATAGAAAGTGGAGAAAGTAACTGTCAGGTGCTTCCGTTAGGTTTTGTCCTACCTGAGCTCTCTAAGTGCTAAGGGACCTAAATGGGGTTTCCTGGGAAAGGAGGGAGACAGTATGGCAAAAGAGCAGGAAAGTGAACCTGAAACTGAAATGGACAGGACTAAGAAAGAGCAAAAAGGTGAAAGAAACCCAAATGTGATTATTACCACAATTGGGACATCATCTCTATATCTGAATCATTCTCATCCTAGAAAACCATCCAAAACAGATGGGAACTGTTGGTATTTTCCAAAAATGGAAAATTTCCATCTACTTTCTGGTCCTCCAGTTTAATCTCTCCTGCTGCAATTTTAGTTTATTTTCTCCAGCAGGCAGAAATGCCAATGTGGGTACACAGAGTCAATGGTTCTAGAGGCGGAAGAAGATATGAAGTTAGAAACCATGGTAGTGTGACTAAGAGGCATCACAAATGAAAATTCAATTGAAGTATGAAAAATAAACTGAAATGCAAGGAAGTAGGGCTATAGATATGCTAATATATAACCCTGAAAAGATGCTGGAAAAAAAAAAAACCCAGAATGAATAGGACCAGAATTGAGTCATCTGAGGCAGGCCACATTGAGGATGTACATCTTAAACAGGCAGAGAATAACTAGCTTAGCAGAAGAGATCCAGCAGGGAGGGCATTCCAGCCAGAAGAAATTGCATGTGTGAAGGCTTAGAGGTAGGAGCAAACAGTCATGTGCCTGGTAAGACAGAAAATCCAAGCGGGGTGAAATCTGAGATGAGTAGAGCAGATAGCACCTGCCAAGGAGAGATTGGAAAGGACTGGCTAAGAAGCAATAGGCTTTTTAGGGTGTTATTTTGTAAGCCAATAATAAAATAATCAGGTGAGCAAGTTGCATATTAAATTCGATAGAAATATGATGTATGCAGAGTGGACTATTAGGCCTCTCTTATCTATGCATACGTTATGAAGCACAAAGGATTTCTGACCTCCTCTTTTTAAGAGAAATCAAAAGTAATTGTGAAATTTTAAGATTATTAGATCAGAAAACCAGTAGAGCCCTTCAAATTGAAAAAAAATGGGAAAAAGGATGAATTTGAAAATACGGCCATATATTATATATTAATTTAAGATGATATTGGATCATTGATATAGATATATCTGTGGAACACAACAGAGCAAGAGAATTGTAATCAGAAAAAAATGTAGGTCAGTTGTGATGGTTGAAATTGAGAATGGTACCGGAAAAGTTGATGGAAACAAATCATAGTTCAGAGAAGTGAGTCGGTAAAACAGACAAGTTGATGAGAATGGAGAGAATAGGTTAAGTGTGCTCAAAGGGAATCCCAGGTTTGAGACCCTCTGGAATGTAGACACTAGTTTGGAAGTAACAGAAGTAATAACAAAACTGAGGAAATGTAATAGAGTTGGACATATTTCAAAGTAGTACAAACATTAGGAACTAGGGAGTATGCTTTCTGTGGAGGCAGAGAGCAACTTCAATAGTACTATTTTTTTGTCCCACTAAGTAACTGAAATTATGTTCACTGAGCTTTCTTTTAGTAATTTTTACTCTATTTCTCCATCATTCTTTTCTTTATGCCCATCATTCTACAGATGTTAAGCCCATACCTGTCTATATTACTTAATGGTTCCCAACCTTTGATTTGTTTATTTTTAGTCCAAGTGTATTGCCTTAGACTGTATCATTCTACAGATTGATCCCATGAATACCTACTAAATGTCAAGTTTAAAGAAGACACAGATAAATAAAATACAATCTGTTTTCTCCAAGATGTTCAATATAGGGAAGAGAAAGAATGCAAAGGAGTTATAGCAGTGCAGTATAAAGTGTGCAGAAGCATAAGTGGGTATTGAGCTCTGTTGAATCACAGGACAGTGAGTAGTGAACTCTCCCTGGTATGATTCTCACAGACTTCACAGAGGACATGGCATTTGAGCTACACGTTGAAGGCAGACTAAGTGTTTTCCAGATCGGAGAGGATTGGAAGGACTTTCCAGTAGCCAAAAAAGCACATGCAGAAACCTGTGAATTGTTAATAATTTGATGGCGGAGAGTGTTTGGAAGGAGGTAGCAGGACAGGTGGTTGGACAGATGAGTTGAGGCCCCACTGTAAAAGAGCCTTGAGTGCCTCACTTTGGAGTGGGCAATGAAGAGCCACCAGAAAACTTTGAGCAGGGCAGTTAAGTGACTAGGTCTTTGTTTTAGAAATAGAATTCTTGAGAAGTAGGGAGGTGGAAATAAAGGGAACAAGATGGAGAAAAGGAATCCAGTTAGGAGTCTATTGCAATTTTCCAGATTAGGAATGGTAAAAACGTGAACTAAGGCAGTTTCAGCGAGGATGAGAAAGTTGGTATGGATTCAAAAGACGTTTACAAATAGATTTGATAGACTTTGACAGAGATTTGATATGGGGTGAGGGTGAATAAATTGAAGATGATTTTGAAATTTTTAACTTGAGTTCCTAAATTAATGATGATGCCTGTAATTAAAATGTGTAGGTCATGAGGTTTCTGTAGAATATAATGAGGGCAGAAACTTTGCCTAAATTGCAAAAGACATCTGCAAACTTACTTCAATTTAATTACTCCAGCCACTGATAAAACTAAGGAATAATGCTAGACCTAGTCGTAAACTCTTAGGGATATTTTGCCTGATTATTGGCTTGAATTTTTTACTCTATAGGCTTGGCTCTTCAGCTGGTTTTCTCTAATAGTTTACAGACTCTACTATAGCTTCACTAAAGACAGATTCTAAAGATTGGTGAAAGAACAGATGTGTAACACCTGTTGTTTTTGCTTATTTACACAATGTGTCACTTCATAACAGTATGACCAGATTTTCCTGGTGGAGTTACGTATGTATAGGCATACTGGATGGTGGTCAAGAAGTTTTGATTTAAAAATCAACCTACACAGTCACACATTATTTCCCTTTATAATAAATGCTCTGAAAACATGAGTTCTTTGAGTCATTTAACAAATTAAATCTACTTTTTTGAGAGTTGAGATGCCATGTACATTAAATGTAACAACGTATGTAAAGCAAATAAGTGTTCTCTTTCTATTTCCTCCTCTTTCTCTCTTTTTTCATGGTTCCTTTCCATATTATTTTCTATTTTGGTGTTGGCTTTAACACTCTGACCTTTTACCTAACACCAAGTTTCAAAGATGTACAATGAACACTTTAAATTGTTAGATGGCTTAACAGTAAAAATGTTAATGTTTCACAGGCAGATTTGATTTGGCTCACTCAAAAACTGGTGCTGAGAGGCTCCTGACCATCTTATTTAGCAAGTCCACCATTTTTTTTTTTTTTTTTTTTTTTGAAACGGAGTCTTGCTCTGTCGCCCAGGCTGGAGTGCAGTGCTGTGATCTTTCGGCTCACTGCAACCTCCGCCTCCCAGGTTCAAGTGATTCTCCTGCCTCAGCCTCCTGAGTAGCTGGGACTACAGGTGCCTGTCACCACACCTGGCTAATTTTTGTATTTTTGGTAGAGACGGGTTTTCACCATGTTGGCCAGACTTGTCTCGAACTCCTGACATCAGGCAATCTGCCTGCCTTGGCCTCCCAAAGTGCTGGGATTACAGGCGTGAGCCACCATGCCTGGCTGTACATGTTATTCTTTGTTTTTTGTTTGTTTTTTTGTTTGTTTTTTGTTTTTCATTTTAACTCTTTAGTGTCTCTCAAAGAAAACATGATGTTTGTTTACTTTTGAGCTCTGTGACCAGAGTGGTACAATGGACTTTCCCTATTTGGCTCACTGATTTATCCCCAGTGATTGTTACATAGTGGAACCTCATCCTATCAATAGGTATCAATAGGCTATCTAGAGGCCAGGTATTAATAGGATATCAATAGATATCAATAGAATATCTATTGATAGGATGAGGTTTCTTAATGCCTATGATTAATGGTAATGAGTAATGATTAAGGTTTCTTAATGTCCCTCTCTATTCATTTTGTGTTTTCTATATACAAATAAAGATTAATAAGAACTTAAAAAAATCTATATCCTTATTCAAATATCTTTGGTTTCGATAGGTGCCTTAATGATTTCAAGAGCTAGATTAAGAAAGTTGAAGGGACAATGGCGTTTTAAAATTCACTTACCCAGCTGGTACCCAAAATTATTCCATATGGCAAATGATGGTGAGAATAATGGAATGGGGTAAAGGTTAGGGCTAGGCCTTCAGCCACTTATTATCTTTTTGTTGCCATAAGAAATATATTACAGGGACGGCTGTCTGAATGATTTTAAGACTTTATAGGCTCCATCAATGTTGTCTACTCAAGACTGCCAGTGCTGGGCACACTCACCATTGTGATTTTGGTGCTTTGTAGCACTGGGGAACTCTGGGGTCTGGCCAGAATCTTGATAGAAATAGCTGAAAATTTAAGAGAATGCATGTAGGAATGTGATATGTCTGTCCCACATCCTGAGAGTAAACATTATGATATAGCAGTAAAAGCATTTTAGTCAGGCAGACTTGGACTTGAATCCCAGGCTTTGGGATTATTCTATGAGCGTTAGTGTTTTTTATGTGTAATATGCGGATATAATACCTGTCTTCAGTACCAACATTAGGCCTGCTCTGGACCCTACATTTTAGAACACCCCACTATAGTCTTGCTCTGGATGTGCACCCGCTCTCAGAGTTAGGAGTTTACAGAGCTAAGGGGACCTGCCCACCTAAAACCTGAGCTTCTAGACCAGTCTCTGAATAATCAAGATCCTGAAATTCCCTGAAAAAAAAAAACGATCCTTAATCCCCCGCAGCATCTAACAGACCCTGTCGTTGGGTCCATCTTCCCAGGGAAAGACCACAGGTGTAAACACTCCTAGGCCCAAGGAATGGTCAAGAGTTAGCTGTTTGCAGGCATTATGGACACAACTTTGACTTACTGGCATATTTACATATGCGTGTGTGAGGCTTTTCAAGCTGCAGATGGACCCAAGAAAGAAAAAAAATGAGGGATGAACTTTGGTTTAGGCCAGAGGCCAACTCATCCCATATCACCTGCTCTGTTACATTCTAACTTGACATGGACTTTCAAGACTTTATGAAGGTATTTGCTGAAGAAAAATGAGAAAGCATATTATTTTTTATGAGTGTTATTAGCTTTATTTTAACTTTCAAATATTTAAACATATGGTATGCAGACCTCTTGCCCTGTACCCACCCTCATAATAATTAACCCAATGCCTTAAAGACCCCACCTCTTAATACTGTGACATTGGGGATTAAGTTTCTAACACAGGAAATTTGGGCAACACATTCAAATCATAGCACCAATATTCTCCATAGCCTTCTTAATATGTACTGTGAGCCATCTTTGGACAAGTTTGAGAAAAAAATTTGAGGGCCTTAAGAAACCTCAGGATCCACATATATTAGCTTGAGGTTCTTCATTAGCCACTCCATTGAGAAAGCATTAAAGATCTATATTATAGCTTAACTTTTATCTGGGAGGAGCAACACATTAAAATCTGACAACATTGGCTTGGTTCATTTGTAAATCTATCTTGATAATCACCTAGCTGGGACCTGTGGGGACAGGAAGGAAATGTGGCAAGTTTTGATGAGCAAGGAGGTTGTGGACAAAGCCAATAATTGAGAAATCCAGGGAAGGTACCAGAGATGTGTTCAGAGCATCAAGAAGAAGCCTGAGAACCGCAGGTGTCAGGGAATGGTGAGAGGTTTCTGGTCAGGAAAAGGAGAGGTTCAGAAAGACACAAGGCAAACTTTGCCCTTGTCAGTTTTGTTGAGGTCAACCTACCGGTGCCTCCAGCAAGGTTTACAATCTGAACAATTTGTTTTTAAAACATATACAAGGATTTATTTTGAGAGCTTGATGAAAAGTTTTTCAAATGTTCCTAGCTGAATGGGCTACACTTCCATTTTATCAGGATCTGAATAATAGAACCCTCAAATAGCGAACACATTTTAGAAATGTGCAGAGAGGCTGGGTGTGGTGGCTCACACCTGTAATCCCAGCACTTTGGGAGGCCAAGGCAGGCGGATCACAAGGTCAGGAGATCGAGACCATCCTAGCTAACACGGTGAAACCCCATCTCTACTAAAAATACAAAAAATTAGCCGGGCATGGTGGTGGGTGCCTGTAGTCCCAGCTACTTGGGAGGCTGAGGCAGGAGAATGGTGTGAACCCAGGAGGCGGAGCTTGCAGTGAGCCGAGATCGCACCACTGCACTCCAGCCTGGGCAACAGAGCGAGACTCTGTCT
Source organism: Homo sapiens (assembly GCF_000001405.40). NCBI lineage: Eukaryota > Metazoa > Chordata > Mammalia > Primates > Hominidae > Homo > Homo sapiens. Next base: position 69,874,750 of record NC_000006.12, read on the forward strand.
CAAAAAAAATAAAAAAAAAAGAAGTGTGCAAAGAGAAATAATATTCATGATAATGACCCTTGAAAGATTATAAGATCTTGTAATGCCTTAAGAATTATTTTTAAATATTGAATTATCACTACAGATTCCAAAATAAGTATATTTCACTGTATCTCAAGATTTGTAAATTGGCAGTCTCTTACTTTTTAAAAATTCAACAAATATTTATTGAGTCTCTGATTTTCCAAGTACTGTGCAAGGCACCTAGGATACAGTGATGGACAAGACAGATATAGTCCCTGCTCTCATGGAACTTAGAATTGAGTGGGGAGCAATAAACATACGTATACAGAAAAAATAATGTCTAAGCTAGAGACCAATGTGCTTCTTGGTCAGGTAAGGGCTTTTGCGCATAGTAACATTTAAATTGAAAACTGAAGGATGAACACAGAATGTTCCAGGATGAGGAAATAACATACACAAAAACCTTGAGGTTGAAAACAGCCTGGCAATTTCATCACTGGAAAGAATGGTACCATATGAGGCTGGAGATGTGGTTAGGGGCCTGGTTATTTGGGACTTCTAGGCTGTAGAACAGCTTTTGGACTACATTCAAAGTACAATGGGAAGCCATTAAAAAGCTTGAAGCAAGGAAGTGACATGAACCAACTCTCATTTTAAGAAAAGTTCTCTACTGCTATGTAGAGAATAACTGTGGTCAGAATTCAGTAATGAATGAATTCAGTAATTAATTGGAAGCTGTTGAGGGGTCTAGACCAGGGTGATCTGAACTGGGATAGTGGCAGAGAAATAAGAGAAATAAGTGGATGTGAGATGTGTTTGGGGTAACACTGACATGACTTGTTGATGGTTTGGAAGTAGGAGATGGGGATAAGGAAGACAGAAGAATCAGTGGGGTCCTTGGGTTTCTGGTTTGATCATTTTGATGGGTAGTAATTACTGAGACTGGGAAGAGCATGAGAAGAACAATTTGTGGTTGGAAATCAGGAATTTATCTGGATGTATTAAGTTATAGATATCTGTGTGACATCTAAGAGAGAATTTTGAATAGGCAGCTGGACACACAGTCTAAAGTTCAGTCAAGAGGACTGGATGGGAGATGTAAATTTTAGATTAACCATCTTACAGATAATATTTAAAGCCAAGAGAATGGTGACGTCATCTAAGGAGACATTATAAAGAGAGGAAAGGAGGGCTCACAGATCCCAGTATTAAGAAATCAGATAGAAGAAAGGTCTGAGAATATTTAAAAGGAAATCTGAGAGAGTGTCAGATCAGGGAGGCCAATAAAAGAGAGTTTCAGGAAGGAAAGAATTGTCGGCTATTGGAGGTGCCACCAAGAATTGAAGAAGGGAAGAGAAACGGATTCTTCTTTCAAGTTCCTGCTGAACTTGGTGAGAGGCATTTCAGTAGAGTAGTAGAATGGCAATTCTTCGATAACTAGAACATTTAGTCAACTAGCCATAAATCTTATTCTGCAAATACTTTGGATAAATGAGATAGAAGCTAAGTGGCTCAAGGAAGTAATTAGGAGATGTCAAGGTCGAATTCATATGCTTATAGCTTTGTAGCCCTCTGGTTCTTTGTTGTTTTAACAGGGACCAAAGCTTCGGTGAACATAAATTTCTAGGCTGCTTTGACACTTCTCCATTGTCCAAATATCAATATCAACCTCAAGCTTAAGAGACAGGTACAACTAAATTTTTCCAATTATTGTTTATTAATATGTACAGCAAACAATTATAATATCAGGTACCTTTTGAATATTGACTAAGTTAAGGCCCTATATAATACACATGCATTAAATAATTTATTCCTAGTATTATTTCCAATTTGAAGATGAATAAATTAGGGCTTAGAGAAGGTACATAGCTTTTCCACAAGTAGCAGAGTCCAGACATGAAGCCATGATTGTCACCACTGTGCCAAACTACTAATTTGTCAACCAATAGAAATCACTTTTGGTTAAAAATATAACCATGGATTTCTCTAAAAATAAGATCAATATTTATGAGTTCCTTCCTTTGAAATAAAATTAATTTCTTTAACAGTTACCAACTGACTTGAAATAATAGCTAGGATAATTTTGCAAAGTCATATGAGGATTAGGACTATATCTAGATGAGAGAATTCAAAAGAAATAAGGCTTAAAACCAGCTGTTTGATATTTAGAATGACACATACAGTTTTAATATTGCAATTGCCACTTCTAGCTATTCACCCAGAAAGATCTGAAATCTTGAATTAATTTTAAAATGCTGATCTTAGGGTATTTGGCACACACAGAATACCAAAGAAGATGGTGGCTTTAGTTTTTTTCCAGAGTGTCTACTGATAGAATTTAGACACTGGTATAATGAATTCTTTTATATTTGACTCTTGATTAAACTTTGAATGATGGCACCCAAGTGATATGACATTTATTTGCATATTTAGACCTCTTAGAATAGCTATTTTAATAATACTGCAATTACCAAATACACTGAGGGAGCCATTATATTTTCACTTGCAATTTATTTCCACATTAGTTGCTTCACTAAAAAAATTAATTTAAATGATGTTTAAGTTTTCCATTACAGGGGTCCTATTTACTAAATCTTTTATTTCAGTACCAAAGGAGTAGAAGTGTACATTCAGAAAGACAATTATTGGAGGTAATACATTAATATTAAATATGATGTCAATGGCAGGCTCAGGTGAGGTAGGCGTTGCACGTATTCATTTTTTCTTTATAAACATAAGGCAAGATTACTTTTCACATGTGCAGTAATCACTTCAGTAACAGTGATTATTCAATCCAATAACAACATAGTTAAGTTTATAGAAAACATGACATCAATTAAGCCAAAATATGTAAAACTAATATTCAGAAGGAAAAACAGACTTGTGAATAATATAATTATATTTTAATAATATGAATCATTGTATATTATACAATGCAAAAAGCATAGGCAACTTAAACAACTGGATTAAAAAAATGGGCAAAGGAGGCTGGGCATGGTGGCTCATGCCTGTAATCCCAGCACTTTGGGAGGCCAAGGTGGGCAGATCACGAGGTCAGGAGTTCAAGACCATCCTGGCCCCATCTCTACTAAAAATACAAAAATTAGCTGGGCATAGTGGCAAGTGCCTGTAATCCCAGCTACTCGAGAGACTGAGGCAGGAGAATTGCTTGAACCAGGACCTGGGAAGTGGAGGTTGCAGTGAGCCGAGATCGCGCCACTGCACTCTAGCCTGGGCTACAGAGCAAAACTCTGTCTCCAAAATAAATAAATAAATAAAAGGGCAAAGGGCAAAGGAGTTGAATAGACATGTCTCCAAAGAAGATACACAAATGATTGGTAAGCACCTGAAAAGATGTTCAACATCACTAATACTTAGGGAGATGCAAATCAAATGCACAGTGAGATACCATCTGACACCCATTAGGATAGTAATTATATATATATATATTTATTTCTTTTATTTATTTATTTATTTTTGAGATGGAGTGTTGCTCTGTCACCCAGGCTGGAGTTCAGTGGCACAATCTCAGCTCACTGCAACCTCCACCTCCCAGGTTCAAGTGATTCTCCTGCCTCAGCCTTCCGAGTAGCTGGGACTACAGGTGCCCGCCACCGTGCCTGACTAATTTTTTTATATTTTTAGTAGAGAAGGGGTTTCTCCATATTGGCCAGGATGGTCTCAATCTCTTTACCTCGTGATCGCCCGCCTCGGCCTTCCAAAGTGCTGGGATTACAGGCATGAGCCACCACGCTCGGCCTATATATATATTTTTTAAAAGACAAAATAGCAAGCATTATCTAGGATATGGAGAAATTGGAGCCCTTGTGCATTGTTAGTAAGAATGAAAATCGTGCAGCTGTTATAGAAAACAGTAGTCTGGTTTCTCAGAAAATTAAAAATAGAATTATTGTATTGTATTGTATTGTTAGCAATTTTACTTCTGATTCTATATACCCAAAAGAATTGAAAGCAGGGACTCAAACAGATATTTGTATATCCATGTTCATAGTAGTAGTATTCACAATAGCCAAAAGATGGGAGCAACCCAAATGTCCATTGATGGATGAACAGACAAAATGTGGTATATACATACAATGAAATATTATTCAGCTTTAAAAGAGGAGGAAGTTCTGAAACAATGTACAAAATGATGAACCTTTAGGACATATGTTAAGTGAAATAAAGTCATACAGATACAAATACTGAATGATTCCACTTATATGAAGTACCTAGATTAGTCAAAATCATAGAGAAAGAAAGTAGAATGAAGGCTGCTTGGAGTTGGGGGAGAGGAAAATGGGAAATTATTTTTTAATGAGCACAGAGTTTCAGTTTTGCAAAATGAAAAAAGTTCTGCAGATGGCGGGGATGGTTGCACAGCAATATAAATTTATTTAATTCCACTGAACTTTGTATTTAAAAATGGTTATGAACATAAATTTTATATTGTGTGTATTTGACCACAATGTTTAAAAATAAAAAAGTGTCAGTTTAAGTGTAGTTGCTTAAAAAAATTTAAAAGCAGAGAAAATTTAACTGATAAGAAGCTGTATCAACATCAATAACTAACTAGAAACTAATCTGAAAATCTTTTCAGAGCCCTTATCATACAGATTAAGGTATATATTGAGATACACCATTGCATATATAATCATATTTCCTGTTATATGATGATATATGATGTAACGTTGATTGGTTTTGCTTTGGTAACATTTTCTGGAGATGTTGAAAGGAGCTGCATACAATAAACTTTATTCAAATTTTTTTTTTTCTGTTGCAGATCCGTGGCCGTTCACATGGTTTCAAGGCACAATGAGACTCACTGGCCCTTGGAAACTTTGGCTTTGGATGTCAATATTTCTGCTTCCTGCTTCCACTTCCGTGACCGTTAGGGACAAGACAGGTATCCAGGCCAACTCTTTGCCTAATCACCAAATGTTATTTATAGCCTTTAAGTCATTAAAACAAATCTTGTTAAGATTGAAAAGGCCATAGATTAATGTACTATAACAGAATAAATTACAATTCATTGCTTTCTTCCATTGATCTTCCCATGATGCACATTAGGAATTCCTAAAATTACCTCATTTTTTTCATACGCATAGTATATTAGTCTATGTTTCCTTTCATCTTCAATATTTACAAGTATACATACATGCATGTGTGCCTCTGTGTGTATATATGACATTATGTATCTTTCCCTTTCCTCTTCAATAATTATTCAAGTTATAAGTATGGAAACTCATTACTAATTAGGATTAACAAGGACATATCTAATCTTAATTAGGAAAAAGTGAAAAATCGGATAGGAGGTATAAAAGGAAATGTAGTTTAATTATATGTTCATTTTGTAGTATCTCAGATGAGGCAAACAAAAGGTTGACAGATCTTTAGAGCACCTTTTGAACTAAATAGACAATATTTGCAATTATTAAATGTATCAGTCTTTTCATAAATATTTCCAAAAGGCTTAAGGGCAATTTGAAATATTTACCTTCATCTCTGCTTTTTTAAATTGATTATGTGGTTAATTTGGAAGACTTTTCTTGAACATTGAGTGTGTATAAGTTACTTAGCTAAATGCAATTCATATTACAAGGTTGAATTAGGCACATTGGAGAAGCCATTTGCTAGGGAAAGAGAAACTTCATCTCTCCTATGCAAACGATCACATATAATGTATTCTGATGATAATCACATATGATTATGTACTCTGAGACTGTATTATTGTGCCTATTGTTTTGAATATTTTTTCAATAATTTTTGCTAAACAAGTATAAACCCACTCTAGAGAGACTTTTGAGTTTGAGGCACACATAAAATATAATTACTCATAAAGATCTAACACATCGTAGTCTTTCAGAGTGTTATGTAAGTCTTTATGATTTTTTATTATTTGGCAGAAGGTGCATTTCCTAAAATAATTCACATGAAAGTTTGAATATTCTGTTATTGTACAAAAGACATCCTGTGGCTGTCATACAATTTGGGGGGGAAACTCTTTCTTCAGTGAGAAATTAATCAGCTGTGACTCATGGCAACTACAACTATGTAAAAAAGGAAAAGAGATGTTAGAGCAGCGGAGTTTATTCTGATACGATTTCTACTCTTCTGAATTTGTCTTTTTTGTAAAGAAATATAGTAGGTAATGTGCTTTGCAATTTAATCTGATATGACAGGACTTTTTTAGTTAGAAGGAAGAATGAATCTTTGGTTGAATAGGGACAGTTTTTAGGCACATGCTAGTGGGTAGTAAATGTTCTTGATGATAGCAAGGATTTGAAGGACCTAAATAAATGGTTCTCCAATTTTAACATGAAAAAGAATCACCTGACGTATTTGATTCCTGAGACCTCCTATCGCATATTCCCATTTTGCAGGTCGTACTGGGGTGGGATTTGGTAATTTACATCTTTAACAAGCTCCACAGATGAATCTAATGCAGGATTATCTGAGGAAAACTCTTAGAGAAACACTTACCTTTGGGATAATTAACAGACATTTTGGTTTTCTTTTTTCTTTTCACCTGGTTACCTTGCATTTTATGCACCATTTTATGCCAAGGTTACCTTTTTTTGTTATTTTATTTTATTGTTTGCTTTTAGTAACTTTTTAAAATTGTGATAAGAACACTTAACATGAAGTCTGCCCTCTTAACAAATTTTTAAGTGTATAACACAGTACTGTTAATTATAAACACGGTACTATACAGCAGATGTCTAGAACGTAATCATCTTGCATAACTAACACTTCCCCATCTTGGGATTCCCCTGAATGTTTGCTTTTGTAGCTCTAGTATCTCAACTCTTTAATCAGGTTACATGATGTATAGGACTACCAAAATGCATATATTCTGATCCAATTTACTTCGCTGAATTAATCTTTTGAAAGATTTTCCCAACAATGTGAATTCAAAATTAATCTGAACCCTAACAAGATTCACTTAACATGAAGCATTAAGGGAAATTAATAAAAGAAAAAATTACGTTTGTTTTTATCATGCTATTTGGTAGAGGGTGTTCGTAAAGCAACACGTACTGAATGTGTGATGGAAATTGCTTAACTTCAAGTATCATTTGCATTAATTGAAAATGTCAGCACAGCACTATCAAAGGGATTGTTGAAGAAGATGACAAGCTGGGCATGGCCTGGAAGGAGACCCTTCTTGTGTCTTGTGTATCTGGTTCACAGCGCAAGGTTCCCTTTTTAGTTTCCTCATGTGCAGACCTGCGCGTGTGGTCACTAACCATTTACCGGAGGGAAGTGATTACATCTAAAAATAAAATATAACAAATCTGAGAGAGAGTCTAGGGTTTCAGGGCTGGAGTCTGTGAAGTTGTCAACAGTTTACTATTAAACCTAAATATATGACAGATAGATTGGACCTTTTAATTGCTGTACCTTAACTCTATGGTATGTTAAATAGTTACCTGGAATTGTCACAGTTGGGACAGAATTTAAGAGTAATATGGAGAGATTCAATAATAACTTGAATTTTAAAATTTTGAAGGTATTAGGAATTCAGTCATTTCATATTCTTTCGTCAATTTGCCTATTGAGATCATGGGATAAGATATATTTGTTTATTTTCCCACTGCAAATGAACTTCCATTTGAATGTGGCAGTTTCAGCTCAGTTACTTGTCAAAAGAAGGTGGGGAAGAGAATTGTGTTAAAATATATACAATGCTAGAAAATCTCAAAACTTGCTTTAATTAGTTGCTTAAAACTCTTTCCTCTAATATAGACTATGTATCAAATAATTAAAGTTTCATCTACTTTCTTTAATCTGTTCTAAGGCAAAAGTACTATATCATCATAAAAAGCAATAAGAAACAGAAAACCAGAGTTTAAAAAAACAGGCTAAATAAATAGAAATGACAGAATGCTTTTTAAATAACACATTTTCCTTTCATTATGATAAATCTTCAGTTTAAGTGTCCAGATTGACTTGATTATAAATTTAAATTTAGGCCTGTAACTATTCATATAAGCCCTTCTAAGGTAGTTTTCTATTAATTACAAGGAATTACAAGGAAAAAAACCTATTATTCCAAAATGTGGCTTTTACTAGTTGGCAAACACTTCACGCTTAAACTCAGAGTAAAATGTATGCTGTTATATAGAGAATTTTATTTTGTGTTTTTAAGAAATTCTTGTGTTCAACATTGGTACCATGTAAAAATCCTTCATTGACAAATGTACTTTGTAACTCCTAAATTTTGAAAGTGGAGGAAAGCTTCACAATGATTAGATAAATAATGTAGCTTCTAACTAGGTATTTTCCTTTGGAAGAATTGGACATTTAAGCAGAGGCATGAAGGCAGTGTGAGGGCAAGGCACGTGAACACCTGG